>NC_000017.11:8975959-9127474 GCF_000001405.40 Homo sapiens
GAGGCTTTGAAGGAAGCTGGAGGACCTGGAGCAGGGATCAGAAATTCAAACACCCCCAAGGGCCAGGCAGGTCAAACTCAGCGATAGAAGGGGTGAGATGGTGTTCACTTAATATATTCTGACATTCCATAACAGCATTGTTTATACTCTGTGCCTTCTGAAATAAACCCTGTTAAAAGGTCAGTCCTTTTCTCCCCCCAGTGCAACAAGGTCCTCTTTCCCAACACAGCTTTTCCATAGTCTTAGATTTTATTTCTGGTAGCCCCTTATGTCTTATTCTTTCAGCAGACACATTTTGCATATTAAACATATAGCAATATTCTTTACTTCTACCTAGAAATATGCTTTCCCCCTTTTCTCTTAGAAGCACCTGGCCCTCTTGGCCTCTTTCATTTTTTTCTACATTTACTGGACATGATTACAAACAATATTTCATTATTTTTAAAAATTGCACAAATGCAAAAATTGGCAACTGAACCTTGACTCTGATGTGTGGGAAACAATAGGGTATGGTGACAATACGGTATGATGGGATGCTAATGAGGTAAATGAAGAGACCACTAAAAGGAGCCCCTGGGGCTCAGCTCCAACCCACGGTGGCCATGTGGAAATGCAGGATTGGTGTGGCTAGATCTTATGATTTTAAAAGAGAAACTGGAAATTGGAATTCATAAGAGAAATCTTCTGATTTTTAAATGTTAGCAACTAATTCAAAACAGTATTCTAAAATGTCTTACAGGCCAAACTACACATGACCTACTGGCTTTCAGTTTGTGACATCTGTTTTCTATTACACAGGTGGGAGCATGCACCAGTGAAACCTGAGTTCTTTCTGTTCACATGAGGTAATCTTCCCACTGGCTGGAAGACACTTCATTTATACAAACAGCGATTACTGTAAAAGTGTATTCATGTTGTTCATCACATGAATAGGACATGGGAGAAAAACTATATAATTATCCTGAGAAAATGCCCCCTAATGCAAATTCTCTGTGGTTAGGAATAAAAGGAGACTTTGTCAACATGATAAATGATATCTATCTCAATCCAGCAGACAATGTGATAGCTAATGATGACTTGGAATGAAGGGACAGATACGGTCCTTAATAACAGAAGAATTCCTATAAAACAAGGGTGCCCACAACTTGAATAGTTTCAACAATATTGTGAAATTCAAAGCAAAAAGATAAGAGAGTCAGAAATTTGGGAAGCAAAAGTCAAGTTCATCATTATTTGTAAGTGATATGATTGTCTACCTGAGAAACCTTAGATAAGGGACTGAGAAATGTCTAGAACTAATAAGAGAGTTCAACAAAGTAGCTGGAGACACAAAAAGATGAAATTCAATAATTTTCTACATACCACCAATGACCAGATAGAAAATGAGCTCATTCATCCCAGTAAATAGTGCTGAGACAACTGAATATCCATATGCAAAATTGTAAAATTGGGTCCCTAGGACATAGCACATACAAAAATTAACTCAAAAATGCATCAAAGACCTAAAGCTCACAGCTGAAACTATAAAACTCATAGAAGAAAACATAAGTGTAAATCTTCATGTCCTTGGATTAGTAAATAGTTTCTTAGATATGACATCAAAAGCCCAAGAAACAAAAGAAGAAAAATAAAGTGGGTATCATCAGTCGGGCGCAGTGGCTTACGTCTGTAATCCCAGCACTTTGGGAGGCTGAGGCGGGTGGATCACGTGAGGTCAGGAGTTTGAGACTAGCTTGGCCAACATGTGAAACCTCATCTCTATTAAAAATACAAAAATTAGTCAGGTGTAGTGACACACGCACGCCTGTAGTCCCAATTACTCGGGAGGCTAAGGCAGGAGAATCGCTTGAGCCTGAGAGGCAGAGATTGCAGTGAGCCAACATCGCGCCACTGCACTCCAGCCTGGGCGACAGAGCGAGAGTCCATCTAAAAATAAAATAAAATAAAAAATAAATAAAGTGGACACCATGAAAAGTAAAATTTTGTTCTTCAAGGACACCACCAAGAAACTGAAAAGATTGCCCACAAAATAGTAGAAAAATACTGCAAATCATATATATGATAAGGGATCTGAATCTAGAATATGTAAAGAACTACTATAACTCAATGATAAAAAGGCAAATACCTAATTAAAAAATGAGCAAAGGATCTGAATTGACACTTCTCCAAACAAAATATAGAAATAGCCAACAAGCATGTGCAAAAATGCTCAACATCATCAGAGAAATGCGAGTCAAAACCACCATGAAATACCATACACTATCAAAAAAAAAAAAAAACAGATAATAACAAGTGTTGACAAGGATGTTGGGAATTTGGAACTCTCATACCTATTTCCTTGTGGGAATGTAAAATGGCACAATCACTTTGGACAATACTCTGTCAATTTCTTGAAAAGGTTAAACATACTGTTACCATATGACCCAGCAATTCTCTTAGGTATATACCCAAGATAAATGAGAACATATGTCCACACAAAAACTTGTACATGAATGTTTATAGCAGCATTATTCATAACAGCCCAAAACTGAAAAAACACACATGTCCTTCAACTGATTAATGGATAAATACAATGTATATCCATGCAATGGGATATTACTTGGTTGTAAAGAGAAATGAAGTACTGATACATACAGCAATGTGAATGAACCTTAAAAATAGTATGCTAAGTGGGCCGGGTGCGGTGGCTCATGCCTGTAATCCCAGCACTTTGGGAGGCTGAGGCAGGTGGATCATGAGGTCAGGAGATCAAGACCATCCTGGCTAACACGGTGAAATCCCGTCTCTACTAAAAATACAAAAAATTAGCCGGGCGTGGTGGTGGGCGCCTGTGGTCCCAGCTACTCGGGAGGCTGAGGCAGGAGAATGGAGTGAACCCAGGAGGTGGAGCTTGCAGTGAGCTGAGATCGCACCAGTGCACTCCAGCCTGGGCAACAGAGTGAGACTCCATCTCAAAAAAAAAAAAAAAAAACTATGCTAAGTGAAAGAAGCCAATTACAAAGAACCACATATTATATGATTTTATTTATATGAAATGTTCAGGCCAGGCGCGGTGGTTCACACCTGTAATTCCAGCACTTTGGGAGACCGAGGTGGGTGGATCATGAGGTCAGGAGTTCGAGACCAGCCTGATCAACGTGGTGAACCCCATCTCTACTGAAAATACAACAAAGAAAATTAGGCATGGTGGCGCATGCCCGTAATCCCAGCTACTCAGGAGGCTGAGGCAGGAGAATTGCTTGAACCTGGGAGGCAGAGGTTGCAGTGAGCCGAGATCACGCCACTGCACTCCAGCCTGGGCAACAGAGCAAGACTCTGTCTCAAAAAAAAAAACAAAAAAAAAACAAACAAAAAAAAAAGCAAAAGCAAAAGAAATGTTCAGAGTAGGCAATACCATAGAAACAGAGAGTAGATTAGTGTTGCCAAAGACTGGGGTGGTAGGGAGAAAATGGGGAGTGAATGCTAATGGGGATGGGATTTATGTGGGGGAAATAAAATATTCAAAAGTTGACTGTGATGATGGTTGCATGACTAAACATACTAAAATCCATTGAACTGTGCACTTTAAATGGGTGAATTACAGGGTATGTGAATTATATCTCAATAACATTGTTATTAAAAATTTATCAATTGTACTATGGGACACAAAAGAAGTCTTGCATAAATGGTAAGATATCTCATATATCTGGATTGGAAAATATAATCATATTGTAAAAGATGTCCATTTTCCCCCAGTTGAGTTTAAAAATGTAATATAGTTTCAACCAAAGCCAAATAAGGCTTTTAGGGGGGTTGGGGGTAAGGAAGGAGATTGACAAAATGATTTTATATTTCATCATAAAAAATAATTGTGTGAATTTAACCAAGAAACTTTTTCAAAGGTTGAGTGATGAGGGAGGACTTTCCATCTGAGATATGGAGATGTTCTGTAAAGCCACAGAGTTACAGGGTTGTGGTGCTGATGGAGGAAGTGTAACAGATCAATGGGACTAAATTGATCTGTCAGAAACAAACACAAATATCTGAATGAATTTAACATAGATTAAAGAAGATAGGATCAATTACTCAATAATGGGTTAGGACAACTGACCATTAGGGGCAACTAACTAATCATTGGGGAAAAAATAAGTGTGTTTTCTACTTCAAATCTTTTTTTTTTTCTTTTTTTTTTTGAGATGGAGTCTCGCTCTGTTGCTCAGGCTGAAGTGCAATGGCGCGATCTCAGCTCACTGCAATGGTAAAAAAATTTTAAAAAGTTAAATGCAAAACCAAACTGAAAACCAAGAAAATGAAATTCCCCTAATGAGCAAACATACAAAAACAAAACAAAAAAAACAAGCTAATACACACACATACACATATACTACAAAAAAACAGAAAGAAAGGAGGAAAAAAGAAACAGAAAAAGTGGGGCAAATAGAAATGAAGCCAAAAGTCTGGGAACTAGCCAAAATATATCAATAATCATAATGAAATAAAGTGACCCATTAACAGTCAGAGATTGTTAGATTGAAGAAAACGTACAAAACACAATTAGTTGCGTTTCTTTCTTTCTTTCTCTTTTTTTCCCTTTTCTTTTTTTTTTTTTTTTTTTTTTTTGAGATAGAGTCTTACTGTCGCCCAGGCTGGAGTACAGTGGTGCCATCTCAGCTCACCACAACCTCCGCCTCTCGGGTTCAAGCGGTTCTCCTGCCTCAGCCTCCCGAGTAGCTGAGATCACAGGTGCCTGCCACCACACCCGGCTACTTTTTTTGTATTTTTAGTAGAGACGGGGTTTCGCCATGTTGGCCAGGCTGGTCTCGAACTTCTGACCTCAAGTGATCTGCCCGCCTCTGCCTCCCAAAGTGCTGGGATTACAGGCGTGAGCCACTGCACCCGGCCAGTTGCAGTTTCTAAGAGGTATTTCTAAGGTATGAAGACACAAAAGTGCTGAAAGCCAAAGGATGGCAAAAGAAATACCAAGCGAAAACTAACTAAAATAAAGGTGGTTAGCTGTGTCAATTTCAGATTAAAATAGACAAGTATTATTAGAAGTAGAGATATGATATAGTGATACAGTTTTAACTCATCAACAGATAAAACAAATTTAAACTTATACAAAACTAATTTTAAAAATCTAAATATTACATAAAGCAAGAATTAATAGAACCACATGGAGAAATTGAGAAATTAATCATCATTGTGAGGTTTTGACAAGCCTCTGTGAAATATTAATGCCTCAAAAGAGGCCAGGGGCAGTGGCTCACACCTGTAATCTCAGCACTTTGGGAGGCCAAGGTGGGTGGATCACTTGTGTCCACGAGAAAAGCCTGGCCAACATGGTGAAACCTCGTCTCTACTAACAAATACAAAAATTAGCCAGGCATGGAGGTGCATGCCTGTAATCCCAGCTACTTTGGAGGCTGAGGCACGAGAATCACTTGAATCCAGGAGGTAGAGGTTTCAGTGAGCCAAGATCAGGCCACTGTACTCCAGCCTGGGTGACACAGTGAGAATCTGTCTCAAAACAAAACAAACAAACAAACAAAAGATTTCATCAAAAACAATTAAACTGGATTTGATAATCATATATATAACCCTACACCCAATTATTGAGAAACAGTCATATTCTTCTCAAGCCCAGCTGGAACAGTTACTGAAATAAATCACGGGCAAGGCCACAAATCAAGTCTCAACAAATTTCAGAGAACTGATGTCATGCGGACCACATTCTCTGACCACAGTGCCATAACAAAAATAGTTTTAAATGATAAAACTGGACACTTCTAAATTGCCTCTAGGTCAAAGAAAAATAATCACACTGGAAACATTTTAAAAATACTTAGAACTGAAGCTGGGCACATTGGTGCATGCCTGTAGTCCCAGCTACTCTGGAGGCTGAGGCGGGAGGATTGCTTGAGCCCAGGAGTTTAAGGCTGTAGTGCACTATATGTTGGTACCTCTGAATAGCCACTGTACTCCAGCCTGGGCAACATAGCAAGACCCTATCCCTAAAAATAAGTTAAATAAATACTTAGAACTGAATGACGATGAAAATATTACATATCAAAACTCGTGGGACACAAGTAAAAGCCATACATAGAAGGAAATTTGTGGCCTCTTAAATGCTAATCTGAGAAAAGAAGGCTGAAAATTAATAAACTGTCTAAGAAGTTAGAAAAAGGACAATAGGGGCTGGGCACGGTGGTTCACACCTGTAATCTCAGCACTTTGGGAGGCCGAGGCGGGTGGATCACCTGAGGTCAGGAGTTTGAGGCCAGCCTGGCCGAAATGGTGAAACCCCGTCTCTACTAAAAATACAAAAAATTAGCTGGGTGTGGTAGTGGGCACCTATAACCTCAGCTACTCAGAAGGCTGAGGCAGGAGAATTGCTTGAATCTGGGAGGTGGAGGTTGCAGTGAGCGGAGATTGCACCACTGCACTCCAGCCTGGGTGACAGAGCAAGACTGTCTCAAAAAAGAAAAAAAAAAGGGCAATAGATTAGTCCCTACCTCCTAAAAAAAGGAGATAATAAAAATAAGAGCCATGATTAATGAAATAATAAATATTTGTCAGAACCAAATGAAGCCAAAAAATGGTTATTTGACAACATAAACACATATCTGGCAAGATAGATAAGAAATAGAAAGTACAAGTAAATAATATTAGGGTCAAAAAAGAGACATAACTACAGATGCAGTAGAGATTATGAAAATAACATATAATACTGTGAATAATATTAGGCTCATAAATTTTAAAACTTAGATGAAATGGCCATTTTTTTCCTGGAAAAAAAATAACAAAACCAGCTCATTCCAATTATGTACAAACCCTTTCAGATGACTGAAGAAGAAAGAATAGTCCCCAACTCATTTTATGAGGGCACCATAACCTTGATATCCAAACTAGATAAAGATAGAAGAAATAAAAATTACAGGCCGATTTTATTTGTGACGCTAGATACAAAGATAGGAAACCAAAAATGATTATACATTATGACCACTTGGGTTTAACCCAGGAATGCAAGGGTAATTTGGCAGCAGAAAATTCTATGGTGTCATTCATCATATTAACCGTGTAAGAGTCCGACAGGACGCTTAAAAGGCATTTCATAAAATTATCAGTGTTTGGGGGCGGGGGGGAAATCTCTTAGAAAACTAAGAATAGAATTTCCCTAACCTGAAATAGAGTATTTAGTAAATGCCTATAATAAACACTTAATTTTAACAAAGAAATACTAGGAAGAATCCTATTTATTCGTTTATTTATTTATTTTGAGACAGTCTCGCTCTGTCCCCCAGGTTGGGTTGCAATGGCGAGATCTCGGCTCATTGCAACCTCACCTCCCAGGTTCAAGCGATTCTCCTGCCTCAGCTTCCCGAGTAGCTGGGATTACAGGCACGTGCCACCACGCCCGGCTAATTTTTTGCATTTTTAGTAGAGATGGGGTTTCACCATGTTAGCCAGGATGGTCTCCATCTCCTGACTTCGTGATCGGCCCACCTCGGCCTCCCAAAGTGTAGGGATTACAGGCATGAGCCACCACGCTCGGCCGAAGCATCCTTTTTAATATCAGGCATAAGCTACAACATAGATGAACCTTGTAAACTTTATTCTAAGTGAAACAAGCCAGTTGCAAATCACCCCTGTATTGTGTGATTGCATTTGTATGAAATGTTTGGAACAGTCAAATTCATAAAGACAGAAAGTCAACTGGTGGCTGCTTAGGGATGGTTGGAAAGAAATAGTTAAGTGACTGCTAATGGGCATGGGGTTTGTTTTTGGGGTGATGAAAATGCTGATTGGGGTGATGGTTGCACAACTCTGAATATCCTAAAAACCACTTTAAATGAGTGATTTGTTTGGGATGTAACTTTTTTCTCAACAAAGGTATTTTTGAAAAAGCATGTGAAGAGCAGGGTGTTTCCAAGAGCAGTTAATTTTAAATAAACACATATGGATTCAAAAAAAAAAAGATCAGGCACAAGACAAGGATGTGCCTTGTTACCACTTCTATTCACCATTATATCAGATACCCCAGCCAGAATATTAAGATAACAACACAATTTAAAAACATTGTAAAGGAAGAAGAAAAGGCCATTATTCAAAGAGTATATGCTTGTCTATACAGAAAACTGAAAAGAAGACACAAAGAAATTATTAAAAATAGGCCAAGCACGATGGCTCATGCCTGAAATCCTAGCACCTTGGGAGGCTGAGGCAGGTGGATTGTCTGAGGTCAGGAGTTTGAGACCAGCCTGGCCAACATGGTGAAACCCCGTCTCTACTAAAAATACAAAAATTAGCTAGGTGTGGTGGCTGATGCCTGTAATCCCAGCTACTACGAAGGCTTAGGCAGGAGAATCGCTTGAACCTGGGAGGTGGAGATTGCAGTGAGCTGAGACTGCGCCATTGAACTCCAGCCTGGGCAACAAGAGCAAAACTCCATCTAGAAGGAAAGGAAAGGAAAGGAAAGGAAAAAGGAAAGGAAAGGAAAGGAAAGGAAAGGAAAGGAAAGGAAAGGAAAGGAAAGGAAAGGAAAGGGGGAGGGAGAGAGACAGAGAGAGAAAGAAAGAAAGAAGAAAGAAGAGTGAGCGAGCAAAAGAAAGAAAGAAATTATTAGAAATAAGATTGGCAGTTAAGATAACTGGCTCTAGAATCACTGTACAAAAAAATGGATTCCGTTGCTGTACACCAGCAACTAACAAAATACATATTTTTTTAAATTACAAGATAATTGTTGCAACATAAGCTAGGACAGTAAACATAAAACATTTACAAGACAATATACAGAATACTGTAAAACTTCACTGAAAAACATAGAAATAATTGGCAAGTTATCCCATTTTATGGACAAAATGTATTATAAAAATATCAACTCTCTTCAAACTGACCTATAAGATTCAATGCAATCCTGGAGAAGCACTTCCAAAACGGCAGAGTGGAGACCCCCCAAAATTCATTCCTCCATAAAAGCAGTGAGAACACTGGCAAAAAAAATAAAAAATAAATAAAATAAAAACCTTTTTAGAACTCTGTAAATTAACCAAAAACTTGCAACAATCTCAGGAGCATTTATTCAAGAAAAAATGCTGACTCTCAGTAAGAACAGTGAGTTCTGCAGCATTTTTAACTTCCCCTGTTCTCATCTCCCTCTCCCCAGCTCTGAGGTAGACTTGAAAATCTTACAACCATGGTAGCTGTGCAAAGCAGCAATGTTGCAGCCACTGGAGGAGGCAGGTGGTTTTGGGGCACCCCCAAAGGTCCCATCCCAGAGAACTGTCACTATTTGACTGCGCTGGCAATTCCCTGGAAAAGCCCCATTCACAGATGTTTTTATTTGACCTGACTCAGAGCTTGCCCTACTACTGGAGTATTTGTTGAAAGCAATCAACAGCAATTGTTTAACAGTGCAGCTGCCTCTGGCAAAATCTGGGAAATGAGCTAGGGGGCTTTGGAAAGCTCTGACATAGTCCTGGAGATCTAGAAGAGTAGGCACATGTTCATGCCCGTGAAAGACCTGACAAGGCCCCAGTCTCTCACCTCAAGCTGACCTTCGGCATGTGCTCAAGCAGGAAGTGAAAGTTAAGGCAGAGATGTAAACTAACTAGGGCAATCAGAGTGTTTGTCAACACACACGCACAGTTCCCTGGCAAAGTGCAGGGAGATCAATTGGTTTGGGCATTTAAAGAACCTCTATTTAAACATTAGCTGACCACTAAGCTAAAGGAGCACAGACTTCCTTGGCCACACAAAACAAATAATACAGACTTCATAGAATTAGTACAGGAAAGCCACTAAACAAACTAAACAGTAGCAGCAACAACAATATCAACAAACAGCAGCAACAACAAACGCTGGGAAGGGGGTGTGAATCTGATTTCCAAATGTAAAATGTCCTGTTTTCAACTACAAATTATGAGGCACTCAAAGAAACAGTATATCCCACACACAGGAAATAAAAGTCAATAGAAATTGTCTCAGAGGAAGCCAGATGTTGGACATACTAAATAAAGACTAAATCAGTCTTTATAAACACGTTAAAAGAAAAACATGTCTCATAGCAAAGTATAAGAATGAAGTCTCACCAAATCTGATGCGACCAACCCCAAGAAAAAATCCCAACAAAGTTGTAAGTGGAATTTGCTCAGGTGTTTCAGTACTGTATATGGAAGAGCAAGGGACTGAGAATATACAAGATACTCCTAGGAAGAAGTGTGGCCAGGCACAGTGGCTCACGCCTGTAGTCCCAGCTACTCGGAAGGCTGAGGTAGGAGGTTGAGGCTGCAGTGAGCCAAGATTGCACCACTGAACTCCAGCCTGGGCAACAGAGTGAGACCCTGTCTCAAAAAAAAGGAAGTGGGTGGGCAGAGGTGGTGGTGTGGTTTTTCCTTATGAAGGATCAAAATGCGTCCTAAAGCTATGACTGGGTGGTACTGGTGCAGGTATAGGCAGGTCAGTGGAAATAGATCTGCACATATGTGGAAGTATGATTTAAGACCTAGATGGCATTACAGGTCAGAGGAGAAAGGGGGAGCCCTTTCAATACATGTTGCTGGCATAGTTGATAATTCATATACAAAAATAAAATAGAATCCTTTCTATCTTGTACATAACACAAAATTAGTTCCATATGAATTACACTTTATCAGCTAACGGAAATTTTCTAGTTTGATGAATTTTTATTCTGAACAAGTGTTGAATTTTATCCAGTGCTTTTTCTGCATCTATTGAGATGATCATATGTCTTTTTATCCTTTGTATTGTTTCATGGTGAATTTCATTGGTTGATCTTTTAATATTAAACCAATTTTCCAATCCTAGAAAATACTCCACTTTGTCATATGCATTATCTTACTTGTACACTGTGGGTTGAATTTGTTAACATTTTGTTTAGAACTTTGCATCTATATTCATGACAGAATTTGTCCTGTTATTCTCTCTTTCTGTAACGTCTTTGTCAGGTTCTAGTATCCAGTTATACTAGCCTCACAAAAAGACTTAGAATGTGTTTCCAGCTGGGCATAGTGGCTCACACCTGTAATCCCAGCACTTTGGGAGGCCAAGGTGGGAGTATGGTTTGAGCCCAGGAGTTCAAGACCAGCCTGGCCAACATAGCAAGAGCCTATCTCCATTATTATTATTATTTTTTAAAGTGTTTCCTCTTCCTCTATGCTATTAAAGAGTTTATGTAATATTAGTACTGTTTCTTCCTTAGATGTTTGAAATAATTTATCTGTAACATCATCTGGGCCTAGAGTTTTCTTTGTAGGATTAAAAATTTTTTTACAGCTTTATCGAGATATAATTGATATACAATAAAGTGCACATATGTAAACAGTGCAATTTGAGAACTTTGGCCATACATATAGACCCATGAAAATACATCTCCACAATCAAGATAATGAACGTCCTTTACTCCCAGAAGGTTTCTTGTGGCCCTTTCTAGTCCCTTCCTCCCATCCATCCACTGCCTCTAGGCAACCACTGACCTGCTTTCTGTTACTATAGATTAGTTTTCATTTTCTAGAATTTTAGAATTTTAAATAAATGGAATCATATAGTATGTACTCTTCTTTGTCTAGATGCCTTCATTCATCTTAATTGTTTTGAGATTCACCATGCTGTTGAATGTGTCAAAAGTCCATCCTGGCTGGGTGTGGCGGACCAAGCCTGTAATCCCAACAGTTTGGGAGTCTGAGGCAGGAGGATGGCTTTAGCCCAGGAGTTCAAGACCAACCTAGGCAACATAGTAAGACCTTGCCTCTACAAAAAAAAATTAAAAATTAGCTGGGTGTGGTGGTGTGCACCTATAGTCCCAGCTACTCAGGAGGCTGAGGCAGGAGGATCACTTGAGCCAGCTGAGGAGGTGGAGGCTGCAGTGAGCCATGATCACCCCACTGCACTCCAGCCTAGGCAACAGGGCGAGACCCTCTCCAAAATAAAATAAAATAACTCCATCCTTTTTATTGCTAAATAATATTTTGTTGTATAGATTTACCCTAATTTATCTATTTACCTTTGATGGACATTTAGTTGTTTTTTTTTTCAGTTTTTGTCTATTACAAATAAATCTGCTATGAATATTCATATATAAGTCTTGGCATGAACACATGCTTTCATCTTCCTTTGGCGAATATCTACAAGAAAAATGGCTGATTATGTGGTAGATGTATGTTTAACACTTTAAGAAACTGCCAAACTGTTTTCCAAGCCAGTTGTATTGTTTTACATTCTTACCAATAGGTCTGGGTTCCAAGTGTTCCACCTTCTCACTAACATTTGCTATTGGTACTTAATGTGGATTTACTTTGCATTTCCCCAGTGACTAATGGTACCGAACATCTTTTCATGTGCTTATTTGCCATTGTAGATACTCTTTGGTGAAATGTCTGTCCAAATATGTTTCGGATTTGAGAAAGTCAGAAAAATCTGACTTTGCTGATTTTTCATTCCCCTATTAGAAACCTCTCCCTATGGCAATCCTGACCCTAACTTTGTGCTTAGATTCAGCAAATGTCCTTTGGACCAAAGAGGCTGTTGATCTTGGCTCACCTAAGCAACATTCTTCCTTTTTTTAGTTAATCTAATTTTATTTGCTTTCCCAGATCATTGATGCATTTAAAAATATGATTATTGATATGGTTTGGCTGTGTCCCCACCAAAATCTCATCTTGAATTGTAGCTCCCATAATTCTCATGTGTTGTGGGAGGGACCCAGTTGGAGATAATGAATCATGGGGGCAGGTCTTTCTCATGCTGCTCTTATGATAGTGAATAAGTCTCATGAGATCTGATGGTTTTATAAAGGGGAGTTTCCCTGCACAAATTCTCTTTTCTTGCCTGCCACTATCCATGTAAGATGTGACTTTGCTCCTCCTTTGCCTCCTGCCATGATTGTGAGGCCTCCTCAGCCATGTGGAACTGTGAGTCCATTAAACCTCTTTCCTTTATAAATTACCCAGTCTCAGTTATGTCTTTATTAGCAGTGTGAGAACAGACTAATACAATTATTATAATTTATCTAGTGTTTCAAGCTGTTACAACAGAAACTTATCACTAGTTTCTTGCATTCTACTTTAAAGCAGAAGTTCCTCAGATGGATTAAATACTTAAATGTGAAAAACAAAACTTTAAAACATTGAAAAGAAAATACAGATGAAAAGGCCGGGTGCGGTGGCTCACGCTGGTAATCCCAGCACTTTGGGAGGCTGAGGTGGGCAGATCACCTGAGGTCAGGAGTTCAAGACCAGCCTGACCAACATGGAGAAACCTTTTCTCTACTAAAAATGCAAAGTTACCCGGGCATGGTGGTACATGCCTGTAATCCCAGCTACTTGGGAGGCTGAGGTAGGAGAATCACTTGAACTCGGGAGGCGGAGGTTACAGTGAGCCAAGATCATGCCATTGCACTCCAGCCTGGGCAACAACACCAACGACAACAAAATGTAAAAACACAAACCCCATAGGGCCGGGCACGGTGGCTCACGCCTGTAATCCCAGCACCTTGGGAGGCCGAGGCGGGCGGATCACGAGGTCAGGAGATCAAGACCATCCTGGCTAACACGGTGAAACCCTGTCTCTACTAAAAATACAAAAAAATTAGCCAGGCGTGGTGGTGGGCGCCTATAGTCCCAGCTACTCGGGAGGCTGAGGCAGGAGAATGGCGTGAACCCGGGAGGTGGAGCTTGCAGTGAGCCGAGATCACGCCACTGCACTCCAGCCTGGGCAACAGACCAAGACTCCATCTCAAAAAAAAAACACACACACACAAAAAAACCACAAACCCTAAACTTGGAGAATATGTTTCCAACACATATAACTGACATTTAACACCCCAAATAGATAAGATACTCTTATAAATCAATAAGTTAAAGAAAACATCTGAGTAGAAAATAGGCAAAAGACATAAACTTGCATTTCACAGAAAAAAAATTCATAGCCAATCAACTTATAAAAAGATGCACAATCTCATTAGTAATCTACAAGTTGAAACCACAGAAGTTCAGAGAGTGGCAGTCTCTTGGAAAGGGGTAGCATTATGATCAGGGAGAAGTCCATGGCAGGCTTGTTGGGAGAGGGAGTGGCATTTTATTTCCTGGTGGTCATTCCAAATTTTATAATTATTTATTAAACCATACATGCATGCTATGTGCCCTTTCTAAATGTATTTGCAGTCTACAGTAAAAAGAATTTTTAATGTTCTTTAAAAGTAGGCATCTTTTGGCCAGACGCGGTGGCTCACGCCTGTAATCCCAGCACTTTGGGAAGCTGAGGCAGGCGGATCATGAGGTCAGGAGATGGAGACCAGCCTGGCTGACACGGTGAAGCCCCGTCTCCACTAAAAATACAAAAAATTAGCTGGGCATGGTGGCACGAGCCTATAGTTCCAGCTACTGGGGAGGCTGAGGCAGGAGAATCGCTTGAACCCAGGAGACTGAAGTTGCGGTGAGCCAAGATTTCACCACTGCACTCCAGCCTGGGTGACAGAGCGAGACTCCATCTCAAAAAAAAAAAAAAAAAAAAAAAAAAAAGTAGGCATCTTTTTTCTTTATATCAACATACACAATGTTATACGCCTCTTTGACCTAGAAACCATTTTGTTTCCTGAAGGTGATACTGCCTAGTTCTAGTAGACTCCACCCTGGCTCACCATAGTATTTTACCATTTTTTTCAAAAGGCAAACTCACTGACAACATTTGTTGCCCGTTGGGAGAAGTCCCGCTGCCTCCCCAGTGCACCAACATCAGCAGGATTTAGGGGTTCTGAATAAGGATGCCTCTCAATTCAAACCACTGGGTCAACAGATAATCAGTCTAAGGTAAAACATTGTCGTTGTCACCCATCCCCAGCCCAACTTTCCTTGGTTCTGGGCTGTTCTGAATCCCACAACTGCAGAGCCTGCCTTGGTGGCAGAAGAAGATTTGATTAAACCTGCTCCTTCTGAGGCAGGGTCTTTCACCATTTTTAAGTCATGGACCCCTTTGGCAGCCCAGTAAAGCCCATGGACCTCATTTCAGGATAATGTTTTATTTTTTTTGTTTTGTTTTGTTTGCTCAGGCTGGAGTGCAGTGGCGGGATCTCAGCTCACTGCAAGCTCCGCCTCCCGGGTTCAGGCCATTCTCCTGCCTCAGCCTCCCGAGTAGCTGGGACTACAGGCGCCCGCCACCACCCCCGGCTAATTTTTTGTATTTTTAGTAGAGACAGGGTTTCACCATGTTAGTCAGGATGGTCTCGACCTCCTGACCTCGTGATCCGCCCACTTCGGCCTCCCAAAGTGCTGGGATTACAGGCGTGAGCCACCGCACCCGGCCAGATTAATGTTTTAAATCTGTAAAACAAAATAAGCAGGATTATAAAGGAAACCAATTATACCGTAACAATTATATTACAGCTTTAACATAAATAAATCAAATTGGAAATCTAGTAATAAATGTGCTTCTTTATTAATGCATTAAATAACACGATCTCGTGGCGGAACTAATAACTGGCATAATTTCCAAATAGCGACAGATGCAAATGACATTTTGAGTTACCTCCAACTGCTGTAATGTGATGTAAAAAATACCTGTAAATTTATTGGTGACAAAATCACAAGTACTGTTTGTTGACACTACTGTGATGTGTTGCCTACATTGATTATTCATGGAAATGCTAAATTTCAGTTGAAGATGAGTGAAAAATTAGATGCATATCTTTTTCCTCTCAAAGTTCAGGGACTCCGGGTTAAGAACCCTGAGGTGTAAATGGACACCGACTGCCACTAGGGGGTGCTGGTATTTTAGGAAGAGGCGTTTGCTCCTCCAGAGGAGAGAGGGTGAACTCCTTGAGTCTCTTTGCCCTTTTCTCTGGCGGGCTTCAGAACTCACAGCCCTGGAACATCTCCTCCTGGCCTCCCAGCCACCTCCAAACCCTCACAAGCACATCCTGTTGACAGTGGAGGTGCAACTCTTGGTGTGACCATCTATAACTCATGCAGAGGCCTCCTCAGTGAATCCTCTGACCACCAGCACTCAGAGGGGTGTACGGCCCAGTGGGTACCACTCACAGCACCTGAGCCTAGGTCCTTGCAGTAACCACAGTCCTGACTCTAGGCCATCGGGGCCAGCAAGAACCCACAAGACACTGCAGGCTCTGGTTCTGAGCAGACTCCTCAGGCCCTGCCCGGCTTCCTTCTGTGGTTGGTGGGCAGCCAGGCAGGTCCTGATGAAACCTGAGGAGGGCCACCAGCCTTTCTCCCCTCCATAATTGGGGGCCCAGCAGAATTGGATAATGGTCTGCAAGTTACCTGAATCTTGGGCTGAGACACCGTGGTAGTCAGAGCTGCCGAGCGTTCACAGATGTCTTGCCTGATTCCTCTCAGGATGAGAGTGGAAATAACTTTCTTTCTGGGCAGAGTTTGATGATATTGCTACATCATCCTCTGTAGGCAAAACAGCAAGAGTCTGCTATTCCCACCTTGTGCTTGCACTGGTAGGAGAGCCAGCTTTGAAACCACTCGAGGGGCAGTGTGACAGAGTGACAAAGGAGACTCCAGACAACTTGAATCAGAAAACCCACCCCTGAGGCCGGGCGTGGTGGCTCACACCTGTAATCCCAGCACTTTGGGAGGTCCAGTGGGGTGGATTGCGTGAGGCCAGGAGTTTGAGACCAGCCTGGCCAACATGGTGAAACCCCATCTCTACTAAAAATACAAAAATTTGCCAGGCATGGTGGCGCATGCTTGTAATCTCAGCTACTGGGGAGGCTGAGGCAGGAGAATTGCTTGAACCCAGAAGGTGGAGGTTGCAGTGAGCTCCAGCCTGGGTGACAGAGTGAGACTCCGTCTCAAAAAAAAAAGGAAAGGAAAGGAGGAAGAAAAAAGAAAGAAAGAAAGAAAAGAAAAGAAAGAAAGAAGAAAGAAAGAGAAAGAAAGAATGAAAGAAAGAAAGAATGAAAGAAAGAAAGAAAGAAAGAAAGAAAGAAAGAAAGAAAGAGAAACAAAAGAAAGAAAAGAGAAAGACAGACAGACCCGACCAGGCACAGTGGCTCACACCTGTAATCCTGGCACTTTGGGAGACCTTGATCACGAGGTCAGGAGATTGAGACCATCCCAGCCAACATGTTGAAATCCCATCCCTACTAAAAAAAGTACAAAAATTAACTAGGCGTGGTGGCATGAGCTGGTAGTCCCAGCTACTCGGGAGGCTGAGGCAGGAGAATTGCTTGAACCCAGGAGACGGAGGTTGCAGTGAGCAGAGATCATGCCACTGCACTCCAGCCTGGGTGACAGAGCAAGACTCTGTCTCAAAGAAAAGAAAACCCAACCCTGCCACTTACTTAGGTTCCGTTTAACTTTAGGTGAGTCATTTAGAATCCATGCCTCAGTTTCCTCGTCTCCCAAGTGGAGATAATAGCCCTGACCTTATAGGGTTGTTATTTGGGTTAAATGACATGCTACACAGAAAGCACCTAGAAGAGTACCCGGCCCATAGTAAGTACCAAGTAAGATTTTGCTATTATTAATAATTGGTATGAAATTGATAAAATGAATAAAATTCTTTCTCTCCTTGCCTCCACTTACCCAAACACCAACTCCACTTTCTTTCTCCCATCATGACTCTGTTTGCTCCTACAAATCAGATTCTTTTTCCCTTTTTAAAGAAAGAGTCTGATTTCCCAGCCTTGGCAACATAGCAAGACCTCATTGCTACAAAAAAAAAAAAAAAAAAAGCCAGGTGTGGTGGCACACACATTTAGCCCAGCTACTTGGAAGGCTGAGGTGGGAGGATGGCCTGAGTCCAGGAAGGGGAGGACGCAGAGAGCTGTGATTGAGCCACTGTATTCCAGCCTGAGTGATAGAGTGAAACCCTGTCTCAAAAAACAAGGTTTATTCCTTTTCACCCCAAACTTGTCCCTGTCCCTCCCTCATGACCTTCCTGGGAAGCATAGTAAAACATGCATCAGGGCAAGAGCCTGGAGACCTGGGGTTTAATTCCACTTCTGGGCTTCCCCTCCCTGAGCCTCAGCTAAACATCCAAGGATCCCTTTGTTTTAAAATATAGGTTGTGTTGGCTGGGTGCAGCAGCTCATGCCTGTAATCCCAGCACTTTGGGAGGCTGAGGTGGGTGGATCACCTGAGGTCAGGAGTTTGAGACCAGCTTGGCCAACATGATGAAACCCCGTTTCCACTAAAAATACAAAAAAATTAGCCACGTGTGGTGGTGGGTGCCTGTAACCCCAGCCATTCGGAAGGCTGAGGCAGGAGAATTGCTTGAACCCAGGAGGTGGAGGTTGCAGTGAGCCGAGATCTTGCTATTGCACTCCAGCCTCAGCAATAAGACCAAGACTCTGTCTCAAAAAAAAAAAAAAAAAATGTAGGTTGTCTTATTATTCAGGTAATGCCGAGGACAGCAGATCAGGAGACAACTACCATTGAAAAAAGAGTTTGCTACTCACAGTTCCGGAGTGGAAGGGACATGCCATGCCACACAGGGCCACACGGGGGAGCCCAGGGTTGGGCAAGAGGCAGAAGGAACAAGAGGAAATCAGGGCAGGGGCCTTAACTATGGTTTCGGAGGGAAAGGCAGGCAAGGCAAGGTTTAGGATTGGCAAGTGTGAGTAATTTTGGCGGGCTCCAAGGTATAGGGGATTTCTCTAGTTGTCTGACACTTGGCCCTGGGGTGACTAGGACAAGTCGTGAGAGTTTGGGTGTGGGCTCTGGATTGGTTGGTTTGCATATCAAAGGTGTGCTCACAGCGTAGTCTTTGCCATCTCTAGGGATTAACTAACCCTGGAAGGGACAGTCCCTCCAGGATCAGCAAACCCCAGACCCCAAAGCATCAAGAATACAGAAAACAAGAAGACGTAGTTAATATACCCTTCTACTATGAATGTGGTTTCATCAGCCACTTTATACATGTCCAACAATACATATTGCTGCTATGACATCATGACTTTTTATCTTCACAGGGGATTCTGACATAGGGGTTAAGGATACCGTCTCTGGAGTCAGACTACCTGGATCCAATGGTAACCTCTCTGTGCCTCAATTTGTAGCTCCCTCATTTTATAGCTGTGGGATTTGGGGGCAATTACTTAACCTCTCTGTGCCTCAGTTTCCTCATTTGTAAAATGAGGATGCTAGTTCCTTATTTCTTAGCACGGTGGCCATTAGAAAAACTATACTTGTAAAGAAAGCTCTTAGAACAGGCTGGGCATATAGGGAGCAATCAATACCTGACAACTATTGTGATTTCTTGATCATGTCAAGCTGCCTTCCAGATTAGAGTTTTCACCTCTGCTGTTCCCCGCGCTGGGAAGGCTCTTTCCCACTCTCTTCACCTGGGTAACACCTTCTCTTCCCTCATGTTTCAACTTAAATGTCACTTCCTCAGCGATGCCCCCACGTCCCAGGCCCCTAGCCTACCCAGCCTTTGTTATACTCTGTCACATGGCCCCTGCACTTCCTTGTAATGCTCATCATAGTTGCAATTGCACAGCTGTTTGTGTTACAGTTTATTGAACATCTGCCTGCCTTTCCCTGTAGACCGTAAACCTTAGGAGAGCAGGGACTGTGTCTGTCTGGTTCCTGCTGTGTCCATAGTGCCTGGCATACCAAAGGTGGTCAATAAATGTCTGTGCACTGGATAAACCACATAGGTTTACAGCTGCAGGTGCATGGATGCCTGGGTCAGAGGCCATCTGGACTCTTGTCTAATGGCAGAAATCCAAAGTCACAGGCTTCTGACCCCTTTGTTTGATGATGGGCTTCTGATGAAGGGCTTCTGGGCCCTTCAGCTGCCCTTTTCAGGCCAGGGAGTCTGGGAGGGAATTCTTGAGGATCAAAATCCATGTTGTAGATGACCAGCTGGCCTGGAGACATCAATTGGCAGAAGTGATGGAATGTGTACGGAAAGATGCAGCTGCCCTGCTCAGGAGGGACTTCATCCTTGCTTTGCTAAACCAGCTGAATTCCAGGAATACCAGCGAGGGGATTGGGTCATGTCATACCTGCCTCTCGAGACAAGCAAGCCGAAAGCTGAAGGGGGCAGGGAGGTGCTAGAACTGCAGAGAGAAAGGAAGGGCCAGATGTACGGACCGGAAAAAGCCCTGTAGCAGGTGGAGGTGAATATAATTAATGGAGCCCAGTGAGCAAGTCTGCACATGCCAACGTCAAAACCTCATCCCAAGGAGCCATGGTCTCACTAACCCCATCCCTGAGAGGGCAGAGCAAGAATAGTTTGAGATTGACATGCCAAGCAAATGTATAGCAGGAAATTCTCCTAAGCCAGGGGTTTGGTCAGAGGCCCTGGCCCCTGTGGCTAAAATCAGGATTATGTCTGTACTGATTTACTTCCCAGCTGGGTTTCAGGAAAAGCCTCAAAAAGACCACAGGGTTGTGCCTCAGATTGGCACATGAGGCCAGCTTCCCTTGGGTCTGTGCTTTCTGGACAAAAAGCTAATACGAAGGGAGATACTCAGAGGAAAAGGCCCCATCCCACAGCCTCCCTCTCTCTATAGCCCCCTTTGAGTCTTGGCAAGTGTATTTGTGACAGCTAGAACAAATCAAATGTATTTTACAAGTTTAGCCTCAAGCAGACCAAGTGCCAGCTTTGGTAGACATGTCCAAAGGGATTTTGACCCTGGACTAGTGGTTCTCAATGGAGATGCTATTGTTCATTTAGAGATTTGGGGGGTCGTGGCTTTGGCTGTCATAGTGATTGGCAGTCACTACTACCATTTAGTTGTCAGGGACCAGAGGTACTATATGTCGTCAATGCATGTAAGCAACCATTGTGCACAGGAAAGGGTTGTCAGCCTTCCCCTACAACTTTTAGATACCCCACTGGATATTCATGTAGATAAAATATAATCTGTGCTCAGAGCCTACCTTTATTTTGTTTATGTACACAAAGGTTTGGTTTGGTTAGGTTTTCACAATTTTAACATACACTGCAGTTTCCAGGAAGGCAACTTTACCAAGTGCTGTTGCCTACTTTGGAAAATCACGTTACCTGGGGCAATGCCACTCTAGGTGCTCTAGGTGTTGGAATTACCAGAGCAACACATCTCTATCAGACCTCATTTGTTACTATGGTGTTCTTGGTAATGCTACACCTAGGTGCAAGCAGCTGACTACTTCAATATGTCATCTAACATAGTTGTGCCCAAGCATTTACATATTGGAATGTGTGTTATTTTATTTTATTTATTTATTTTTGAGACGGAGCCTCACTCTATCACCCAGGCTGGAGTGCAGTGGCACAATCTCGGCTCACTGCAACCTCTGCCTCCCTTGTTCAAGTGATTCTCCTGCCTCAGCCTCTTGAGTAGCTAGGACTATAGGTGTGTGCCACCACATCCGGCTAATTTTTTGTATTTTTAGTAGGGACAGGGTTTCACCATGTTGTCCAGGCTGATCTCGAACTCCTGACCTCAAGCAATCCACCTGCCTCGGCCTCCCAAAAATGACGGGATTACAGGTGTGAGCCACTGTGCCCAGCCCATGTTATTTTATTATACTTGGCTTCTTCTTCTTCATATTGTGTTGATATAGTGGAGGAAATTATGGATGTTGGAAGGCAATATGATAAAGGGGTGTGTTATATATTTTATTGTTTTTAATTATTTATTTTTTTGAGATGGAGTCTCGCCCTGTCGTCCAGGCTGGAGTGCAGTGGCGCAATCTTGGCTCACTGCAACCTCTGTCTCCCGGGTTCAGGCGATTCTCCTGCCTCAGCCCCCAAGTAGCTGGGATTACAGGTGCCCGCCACCACGCCTGGCTAATTTTTGTATTTTTAGTAGAGTTGGGGTTTCACCAAGTTGGCCAGGCTGTTCTCAAACTCCTGACCTGAAGTGATCTGCCTGCCTCGGCCTCCCAAAGTGCTGAGATTACAGGCGTGAGCCACCGCGCCCAGCCAAGGGTGTGTTATAGAATATTTGTTACAAAAAAAGAGGATGATGCTGTGGAAAAACTCAGACAGGTGCATCACTGCCTTGGTTGGATGGCAGTACATGAGTCCACATGGAGCTAACGCTTTACCCAAACCATGCCCTTTATTTGTAGACATCCACTATTTTCTCTAAATAGAAGAAAACTTTTTTTAGTGAGTGGAGCTGATTAGAAAAAATTTGTTCCATTATAGTTGATATCGTTATATATAACTCACAGATGGACCCACATCACTAGCAAACTATTTGTATCGTTTCTCCAAGCCCAGCATTTACTGTGCGAGCCACCTGGGGGCCATTTTTGTTGCCCGAGGTGGTGCGCCTGCGCCACCTGGTGGACTACGGGAAAGTAGCAGATCGGTGAGATGGGTTGAGGCACCTTCATTTGCAGATGGGTAGGCAATAATAACATGAATATTATCAGCTAATGCACTTATAGGGTGCCTATAAGTGCATTAACTCCTGCAGAACTCACAAAATCTTTATGACATATAGTCACTGTTATCTCCTTTTTGCCCATGAGGAAACCGAGGCAAGTAGTGAGTAGAGAGGCAGAGCTGGGATTTGAAGCCTAGTGGACTGGCTCCACAGTTGCTGCTTTTAATCACCCTGCTATAAGCTGGGCATGGTGGCACACAGCTGTAGTCCCAGCTACTTTGGAGGCTGAGGTGGGAGGATCACTTGGGCCCTGAGATGGAAGTTGCAGTGAGCTGAGATTGCAGCACTGCACTCCAGCCTGGATAACAGAGTGAGACCCTGTCTCAAAAAATAATAATACAATTAAAAAATTAATCAGTCTGCTATGGACTTGCAAGTAGCTGCTCTCTTGGGAGACACTATTCTGAGAGTCAAAGGCTGTACTGTGAACATAGGGCTGCCTTCAGCCATCTCTTTCAGGGCAGTAGGGTTACAAAGACAGAGAGAAAGGATGGTGTGCTCAGTGGCTCACACCTGTAATTCCAGCACTTTGGGAGGCCAAGGTGGGCGGATCACCTGAGGTCGGGAGTTCGAGACCAACCTGACCAACATGGAGAAACCCTGTCTCTACTAAAAATACAAAATTAGCTGGGCGTGGTGGCGCATGCCTGTAATCCTAGCTACTCGGGAGGCTGAGGCAGATGAATCGCTTGAACCCAGGAGGCAGAGATTTCAGTGAGCCAAGATTGCTCCATTGCACTCCAGCCTGGGCAACAAGAGCGAAACTCCATCTCAAAAAAAAAAAAGAAGAAGAGGAGGACTAGAAAGAGAGTACCTAGTATTAGGACATGGTAAGATCTAGAAGAGTCTTGCCATTGTATGGACCATGGCAATCTTTGTGCCTACTGTGTGAGGAGGGTGTTTCATTCTTTTGGCAATGAAGGGCTCTAGAATGGCTGAATCCCTAATTATGTTGCAAGCTTCGTGAAGGAAAAGTACACATTCCCTGTTCACTTCTGTGTCACCAGTATTTACCCCAGGACCTGACAGGTATTGAATGTTCAATAAGTATTTTTATTTATATAACATCTGTGTTGAGATATTCATATACCATAAAATTCATCCATTTAAAATTTACAATTCAATTGTTTTTAATATATTCACAGAGTTCTGCAACCATCACTGTAATCAATTTTATCACCCCTAAAGGAAACCAGGTTACTATTAGAATTCATTCCCCGTTACCCCCAACTCCTATCTCTAGCCCTGGCAACCACAAATCTACTTTGTGTCTTTATGGATTTGCCTATTTTGGACATTTCATTATAACTGGAACCATACAATTTTTTTTTGTTGTTGTTGTTGTTTGTTTGTATGTTTTTTTGAGATGGAGTCTCGCTGTGTCGCCAGGCTGCAGTGCAATGGCGTGATCTCGGCTCACTGCAACCTCCGCCTCCCAGGTTGAAGAGATTCTCCTGCCCCAGCCTCCTGAGTAGCTGGGACTACAGGCGCGCACCACCGTGCCCAGCTAATCTTTGTATTTTTTAGTAGAGGTGGGGTTTAACCATATTGACCAGGATGGTCTCGATCTCTTGACCTCGTGATCCACCCACCTCGGCCTCCCAAAGTGCTGGGATTACAGGCATGAGCCACTGCACCCGGCCCACAGTCGTATTTTTTGACTGGCTCCTTTCACTTAGCATAATGTTTTCAAGGTTCATCCACTTTGCAGCATGTATCAATTCTTTATTCTTCTTAATGGCTGAATAATATTCCATCGTATGGATATATTGCATTATATTTATCCAATCATTAGTTGATGGACATTTGGGTTGTTTCCAGTTTACGGCTATTGTGAATAATTCTGTTATGAACATTTGTGTATAAGTTTTTGTGTGGACATGTGTTTTCATTTCTTTTGGATGTATTCCTAGCATTGCAGTTGCTGGGTCATATGTAAATATGTAACTTTACATTTAACCTTTGAGGAACTGCCAGAGTATTTCCAATGGCTGCACCAGTCTACATTCTTACCAACGAGGTATAAGGGTTCCAATTTCTCTATATCCTCGCCAACACTTGTTATTATCTGTCTTTTTTATTACAGCCATCCTAATCATTGTGAATTGGTTTTTCATTGTGGCAGGGCTGTTGCTTTTTAATCATAGGCAAATAAACACCCAGCCTATTGAAGCTGGATGGTACCACAACAACCATGTGGTCCAATTTGTTCATTTTATAGGAGAAGCAACGAACGTGTTAAGAGAATAAGAAACTATCTCAAGGTCACACTTAGTAAAGGAGGCAGTAACAGAACCTATAGATTTTTTTTTCTTTTAAGAAAGAAAGGAAATTAAAGCCAGATGGCATAAAAAGAGAGATAGAGAAAGAGAGTCTTCTATAAAACCTAGGAGAAATTTCTTTAACCATAAAACCAGAAGATGCTGGGTGCAGCAGCTCATGCCTGTAATCCCAACATTTTGGTAGGCTGAGGCAGGAGGACCACTTGAGTCCAGGAGTTTGAGACCGCCTGGGCAACAAAGAAAGAATCAAGGCTGGGTGCGGTGGCTCACACCTGTAATCCCAGCACTTTGGGAGGCTGAGGCGGGCGGATCATGAGGTCAGGAGATCGAGACCATCCTGGCTAACACGGTGAAACCCCATCTCTACTAAAAAAAAAAAAAAAAATACAAAAAATTAGCTGGGCATGGTGGCAGGCGCCTGTAGTCCCACCTACTTGGGAGGCTGAGGCCGAAGAATGGCGTGAATCCAGGAAGGGGAGCTTGCAGTGAGCCAAGATAGCGCCACTGCACTCTAGCCTGGGCAACAGAGCGAGACTCCATCAAAAAAGAAAAGAAAGAATCAAAAAGATTTTTTGATTCTACAAAAAAATTGAAAAATTAGCCAGGCATGACAGTGGTCCCAGCTACACAGGAGGCGACGGTTCTCTATTTATTCCTTCAGTCATTTTAATGGTTATTGGGGGAGGTGTGTCAGTGGACCATCTTGGACCAAGGTTTGGATCCCTTGGGCCCAAGAGTTCAAGGCTTCAGTGAACTGCGATCGCACCACTGAGCTCCAGCCTGGGGACAGAGCAAGGCCCTGTCAAAAAAAAAAAAAAAAAAAAAAAAGCACAAGACAGACAATGAATCAATAACTAATAAAGGATAGTCATAAATAGTTAGTCATGGATCCTCTACTACGTCTTAGGTGCAGAACACGGTAAGTGCTTTACATTTGCTTCCCTGTTTAATGCTAGCAACATGCCTATTTTAGAGAGTTGAAGTGTAAATAAAGGATTATGACCCTAGACTCTTATATCTAACTACTGTCTGTGTATAAAGTAACAGACAATCTGAGACATGCGAAGACTCAAAAAATCCACCGTCCATCCACCCTTCCCCCAAGGTTTACTCAAAGTAGCATTTCAGTGGTGTGAGAAATTAATCAAAGTAAGGAACTCAGGAATGAGGAAGTCATTTACGTAAATGAAATGACAATAAACAATGTAGGCAGAAAAACTGAGTTAGAAGGCTGGGTGCAGTGGCTTACACCTGTATTCCCAACACTTTGAGAGGCCAAGATGGAAGGATCACTTGAGGCCAGAAGTTCCAAACCAGCCTGGGCAACTCATTGAGACCTTGTCTCTACAAAATAAAAAGTGTTTTAAAAATTAGCCGGGCGTGGTGGCATGCACCTGTGGTTTCAGCTACTCGGGAGACTGAGATGGGAGGATCTCTTGAGCCTGGGAGGTCAAGGCTGCAGTGAGCCATGATCCCGCCACTGTACTGCACTCCAGCCAGGATGACTGAGCAGGGCCCGGCGCCCCCACCGCCCCCCGCCCCCACACACACCTGCGCCACCACCGCCCCCCACCCCCACACACACCCACTACCAAAAAAAAGAGAAAAACTGAGTTAATTATGAACGTAGTTTGAAATCACAATGCCAATGTCAAAAAATGATTCTTCAAAGAGCAAGCATATGATGTAAAATTTTAATAATGGCCTGAAGCTAGGATCCTAGTTTATGCCGGCAAACCTGTGTCCTCCAGCAGCCTTAAGCTCGGCAGAGATTCCCAGGCGCCGGCCTCGCGGGTGAACTGTCACACGTACCCAGAGCTTGGAGGAGGCGCGCCGGGGGAGTGTTGTGCTGGGGATTCCCAGGCCGGCTCCTGCTTCTCGCCTGATGAATGTGGAGTTCCTTCAGCCATCCCTCGGATCCTCTTAAACTTTTCTAAGTTTCAGGAGTGTGAATGACGCATTCCCCTAGTGTTAAGTGGCGACAGTTCTCCCTCTATTTTATCTCTTCAGTCATTTTAATGGTCATTGGGGGAGGCGTGTCAGCAGACCATCTTGGATGAAGGGCAAAAAGACCAGTTAGCATGGAATTGAGGTTTGTCGCTGGTGATGGCAGTGGGGACATGATCGCACGTCCTTGGGTCAGACTTCTCAGCTCTCTCCTCCCCATTTTTACCCCCAGCACTCGGTCAAACAAACAGACAAACAAAAAGACCCCTGCAACTCCCAGACAAACCAAAGCTAGAGTGTGTAGGTTGGGTGGCTTTCTGTTGGATAGTTGTGTGTCCCAAGTTACACGCATCCTATCTTGGCCCAGCTCCACTGGAGCCCGAGCGGCGGGGCGCAGGGTGCGAGCGGGAGGCTGGTGTTCTGCCCGCGATGGGCAGGGGAGCCGGGTGGCCGCGGGGCGAGGAGCCGCGAGGGCCGGGCCGGCGTGACACCACCTGGCGGAGTCTCGGGGAAGAGTCTTAAAGGCGCGCGCTCCTCCGTGCCCCGCGCACTCGAACGGGAGCCGCGGAGAGCTCGCCTCCCGCTGCCGCCGGCGCCTCGGGGAGGTAAGTGCCACCCGCGGATCCCGAGTCGCGGCCGGGTGGGGGCGGCCCGCGGCTGCCCCGCGCTCGGGAAGCTCTGGCTGGGGCTGCGGTCGGAGGGCGGCGCCCAAGTTTTCTTGAAGGCCTCGGAGGGCAGCTGGAGCGGCGTAGAGCCTGCGCGGGGATGGCGGGGGTGGCCGCGGGCCGGGGCCGTCTGGGGGCGGCCATCCCGGGCGGTGCGTGGAAAAGTAGGCACTGGTGCGCGGCGAGGGGCGCACGCCAGAGCCCCAGCCCCGCGTCCTGCGCACTTGGCGCGCTCTGGCCGCGGTCCCGGCGAGCCCCAGCCTGCTCCGGGCCGCGACCCCGGCTCCGCGCCTTCCTGCCCGCCCGGGTCCTTTGTAGCCCGCTGGCCCCGCGGTCGCGCACGGTCACGCCGGCAGGTCGCGCTCGGCGGCCGGCCAAGCCAGCCCCGGCCCTGCCGCGCCCGCGCCCCGGGCCACCCCGCCCGGCCCCCTCGGCGCTGCACCCCTCGCTTTCCCCATCTCCAGCCGCTCGCTATTTTCACACCTCCCGGTGCCCCGGCCCCGGCGCCTGATTCAGTGCTTAGTAATTAATTTGGCGTTTCAGAATGGTCAGCGGGCTGGATAATGGGTGCATTCATCCCCCGGGCTAATCTGAACAGAGGTGGGAAGAAAGGCTTTCACAGACAGAAAATGCCATTCGCCGAGCGCTCAAAGGGGCTGTCACTCCCAGAATAAATCGCCGCCGCGCCCGCCGGCTCCTCTGGCCATTTCCATACAGCTCCGGCCCGCGCCGCGGACCCGCCGGCCTCGGCCTCGGCTCCCGGGAATCACTCACTCGAGTGCCTTCGACGGGAAAGTCGGGCGAGAGCTGGACCCAGGCGGGGGCCGAGGGAAACGGGGAAACTGGAGACTCGGGTGAAGGCCGCAGGGGACAAAGAGATTGATTAGAAAATCAAACGCGCATCTAGAAGGAGGCGCAGGCGACTGCTCAAGGCGCGGACGGCGGAGCTGGGGCTCGGGAGCGTCCGTCCAAAACCCCCGAGGTTCGCCAAAGAGGAGGGCCCGCGGCCCAGACCCTCCGGAGCGTGCCCGAGGCGACACGGCAAGCTTCTGGGGCTCCCAAATTGTGAATGGAGTTCAATGCACAAGCATAGATAGTAGAAACAGGGTCGACCTGCACAGACTTTTTATTCCGAGTTCCTTGTGCTATCAGCCCCGTCGCCCTCGCGGCCTGGAAGGTGACACGGTGTCTTCCCCGGCCTCCTGCTCGCCACCCCTGTTGGGACCCTCGGGTCCGCCTGGGGACATCTGCTGAGCGGGTGACGGAGGCTTTATCCTTTGATCCCTTCTGGATCCGGTGACGCGCTAAGTGTTGGGCACGTACGGCCTACGGAGTTTGAATGCTGGGGCCTTCCTGTTGCGGCACCCCCAGCCCACTGGTGCAGCGGGATCGTGCGCTCCCGCCGCAGCCCTAATCCAGAGGACCGCGCCGCGCCAGCGCCTTCAGCCAGGCTGTGGCGCCTCCAGTGGGTAGGGCTGGCTCGGCTCTAGCCAGGTGAAGCTCCAGACTCTGGATTTTCCCGTCTTCGGGGTTCAGCGTGTATCCACCTCACCCGGCCGACTTGGCCCTGGGCCCTTTCACCCAGTGGAATCCTGCCACTGGGAGAAGAGAAAGAGCTGTGGCTCTATGGCGAAATCTTAGCTCGGTTGAGAGGCAGAACTGACACAGCTGGGACGAAGGGGAGTTTCTGGAATGGCCAGATGCGTGTCCCAGGTGTGTAGGGGAGATGGAATCTCCGTACTACTCATCAACTTCTGAGTGGAAGTCATCCCTCCCCTCTGTGTCTGTTTCCTCATTTGCAAAACAAGGATAAAATGAGATCACATGTGGCCCCAAGTAAGGGGGCTCTCAGTAGAAGGATCCCAGGCACCGCTCCCACCACTGACCACCAACCTTGCTGCACCTCCCCCGCATCTCTCCACGTCTTCACCAACATTCTCCTGGGAGCTTTAGCGACTCCCAGATTTTCTCTCAGGCTGCCTCCACCCACCCCTTGTGGCTTTCGGGTTCTGATATCCAGCTGTCCTTGAAATCACGCTTTCTAAGAGTTGGAAACATCCTTCCACAGATTCTAGAGCCATTATACAGATAGTGATATTGAGGCCTAAAGTGACTTGCAGTTGTCACCCAGCTAATTAGAGGGCTTGAGCCAGAATGGATTTCATGGCAAACAGTGAATCTCGGACTCTGGGCATCAGACTTCCAACCGCCCCCACCCCGACCCAACACACACACACATACACACACACCCTCCCTCCTCCTCCCCACCGCTGCCCCACAGCTTCCCTACGTCTGGGGAGGGGCCCAGAAGGCTGCATTTTAAACAAGCATCCTGAAGCATGTTGATGCAGGTGGTATAAGGACCATATTTAGGGGAATGCAGCCCAAATCAGGTTCTTTACCTAGCAGGCCCTTCTCTCCCAGGACCATGGGCTTTGCTTGTTCTATGTGCGTCACATATGATCTGCAGAACAGTCTTTTCGGTGTCCTCCCAGACTGGAGGCCATAGTGGGTGAGGTCTATTTCTAGGAGATGCTCCAGTATCCTCCAGAATGTGCAGCCAATGAGGGAGCGGCAGGGGGTGAACTGTGCACCCAGCCAGATGAGGAGAGGCCAGAGTGCACCGCAGGCTGCCTGGATGTTGAGTCCCCAAACCCAGGGGCCTTCTCTTACCAATGTGCTTTCACAGCTGGACCTAACACTGCACACTGCAGGCCCCACACAGACAGTACAAATGTGCCCAGAGGCCCCCCTTGGCAAGGCAAATCTGCCCACGCCAGGGACAGAGCAGCCGGCCATAGGGGGACCCATGCCAGCAATAACCCAGGTGTGAGCTGTGGCCCAGAATGCCAGCACCTGCCCCTTCAGCATGCTGGGGTTTGGAGGTGTGAAGTGGGCGGTGGAGGGGCAAAGAGAAGGCCTGGAAAAGTGGAAGAAAGTGGGTAGGGGGAGGAGAAGCCATCAGGTACGGGGGTGGTGGGTAGTGGGGGGGACAAGTCCCTATTTATGTAAGCCATTTGTAGCTGCGAATTGTAAAACTGGGCAGGCTTCTCTGGAGTAATTCATAGTGTTTGGACAAGACAAACATTGTTCTGCTTTAAACAAACCTCCAGAAAGGTCAGCTTGGTTCATCCCTTTGCTGCGAGTCGCTGAGACTATCCAGATGATGAGAAAATCAGATCTTCGCTGAGGGGGCCCAGGCAGGAGGTGGTGGACTCCTGAGCCCTTTGGATGCTGAGCGAGGACACCCAGTGCAGGGAGGGGCCTTGGCTCTGTTGAAAAGGCTGGACTCCCAATCCGGAGCCAGGAGATGTGAGGTGTGTGTGTGCACATCACAGATTGTGAGATTTTGATGATGGCAAGGACATCATCCACATTCTAGGGCCAAGCCAACATGACGTGCAACATGAATCTTCTTTATGTGGAAGAAGAATTGATGGGAAATGAAGGTTCATGGATGCAGAACCAAATTAACCCAACTAATGCTATGCCCAGATATGGCCCTGGACACCAAGAAATCCATGTTCCTTGCATATGGATGCCCTGGTAGGGCCCTTCTGTGTTCATTTAGCAAACATTTTTGAGTGATCACAATGTGTCAAGTTTTGTGCTGGGTACTCAGGGTTACAGTAGGGAACAAGAAAGATATATTAGTAGCACCCACTCTTGGGGCCTATAGTTCTGGGTTATCCTCTCCTTCCCTGTCTTCCCTAAGAAGAGAAGCTGTTCACAATTTCACTTCCAGCTTCTCCACCGCCATCATGGCCTCACCAAGCCCCCTGGCCAAGACCCAGCATACCAGCTCCCTCCACGGGGCCTGACAGTAAGTGCTCAAGAAATGCTAGCCGCCATGGTTATAATTACGAGTACAATTGTGATTACGAGACTCCATTGTTTTCTTTTCTTTTCTTTTTTCTCTCTCTTTCTTTCTTTCTCTTTTTTCTTTCTTCCTTTCCTTTCTTTCCTTCCTTCTCTCTCTTCCCTTTCTTTCTTCCTTCCTTTTTCTTCCTTTCTTTCTCTCTGTTTCTTTTCTTTCTTTCCTTCCTTCCTTCTCTTTCTCTCTTTCTTTTCTTTCATCCCTTCCTTCCTTCTTTCTTTCTTTCCCTTCTTTTCCTTTCTTTCTTCCTTTTTTCTTTCTTTCTCTTTCTCTCTCTCTTTTCTTTCTTTCCTTCCTTCCTTGTCTTTCTCTCTTTCTCTCTTCTTTTCTTCTCTCTTTCTTTTTCTTTCTTCCCTTCCTTCCTTTCTTCCCTTCCTTCCTTCTCTTTCTTTCATTCATTCATTCTTTCTTTCTCTTTATCTTTCTTTCTTTTTTCTTTCTTCCTTCCCTCCCTCCCTTCCTTCCTTCCTTTCTTTTCTTTTATTTCTTTTCTTTCTTCCTTCCCTCCCTTCCTACCTTCCTTCCTTCCTTCTCCTTCCTTCCTTCCTTTCTTTCTTTTCTTTCTTCCTTCCCTCCCTTCCTTCCTTCCCTCCTTCTCCTTTCTTCCTTCCTTCCTTTCTTCCTTTCTTCCCTCCTTTCTTTCTTTCTTGCTTGCTTGCTTGCTTTTAGAGATGGGGTCTCCTTCTGTCACCCAGGCTGGAGTACAGTGGCATGATCATGCCTCATTGTAACCTCCAACTCCTGGGCTCAAGCTATCCTCCCACCTCAGCCTTCCAAGTAGCAGGGACCACAGGTGCAAGCCACAATGCCTGCAAATAATTTATTATTATTCTTATTATTTTTGTAGAGATAGGATTTTGCTGTGTTGTCCAGGCTGGTCTCAAACTCCTGGCCTCAAGTGTCCTCCCACCTCGGCTCCCCAAAGTACTGGAATGGCAGGTGTGAGCCAATGCACTTGACTTAGACTCTGTTCTTGAGTGATCTATCTGACCCTGAGCTGAAGTGGATACTTTGTATTGATATTTACTATTCATTCTCATTGTCTTATTATTAATGGCTTATTAACAATACATTATTGATGCTCATTAACACTAAAGCCCAGTGTCTCTGTGGTGCCAGTCATCACTGTCCTGTACATGATCTCTGTTTGCCCTGTAGTAAGCTTGGTGATGGCAGTATCACTGGATTTGCTGGTTCTAGGCAACTTTTTAATTTAAGTTAATTAATTAATTAGTTTATTTATTTATTTATTTTTGAGATGGAGTCCCACTCTGTCCCCCAGGCTGGAGTGCAGTGGTGCGATTTCAGCTCACTGCAACCTCGGCCTCCTGGGTTCAAGTGATTCTCCTGCCTCAGCCTCCCCCAGTAGCTGGGGTTACAGGCATGTGTCACCACGCCCAGCTGATATTTTTTGTATTTTCAGTAGAGACAGGGTTTCACCGTGTTGGCCAGGCTGGTCTCGAACTCCTGACCTCAAATGATTGGCCCACCTCAGCCTCCCAAAGTGCTGGGATTACAGGCATGAGCCACTGTGCACCCAGCAGTCTATGCAACTTTATGAAAATTGTTTAGGGCTTTGGACACTTTAGGGTCTTCTGCATATGGTTTTTTACTCAATACTCCTGATATCCATGGAAGGAAGAGAGGGCGGGAGAACAAGGAAGGAAGATTACTATCCACATTTTTCAGAAGAGGAAGTTGATACTTACAGAGGTGAAGTGATTTGCCCAGCATCACGGAGATGTTAACGGAGGGGACTATGTCTGACTAGGGTACAATCCAAACCCCAGCTCTACTAAAAATACAAAAATTAGCTGGGCATGGTGGTGGATGCCTGTAGTCCCAGCTACCTGGGAGGCTGAGGCAGGAGAATCACTTGAACCCAGGAGGCGGAGGTTGCAGTGAGCTGAGATCGCACCATTGCACTCCAGCCAGGGTGACAGAGTAAGACTCCATCTCAAAACAAGACAAAACAAAAACAAAACAAAACAAAAAAAGCTCTGTCTTGGGACTTTTGCACATGCCATTCCCTCTGCCTGAATGTACACTTCCCCCAAATAACATCTGTCCCCAGAGCTTCCTTCCTCACTTCACTCATTCTGCTCTACTGGGTCCTTCTTAGGGAGTCCTTCCCCAAGTACCTGCTTGAAATCCAAACAGTCCTCTTGGGCCTGCATCACCCTGCTGACCACCCATGGAGCTCCCTGCAAGCAGACCTGGAAACCAGCGCTCTCTGGGCGACCCCATAAAGCAGGTGCTTGGCCAGAGGCTAGGAAGTGGCTCCCTGGGCGAGGTCATGTCCTTCCCACCTTCTGCGTAGTTTCTGGCATTATTCTGGGGGCTGGCATGGTGATGCTCCTGCCTGATATCAGCATCCACAGGTGAGGGGGACATTCCTTCCTTCCCCACCAAATCTTAGTTTCCTTTGCCATCTTATTATGGTTGAATAATCCATGCACTTAACCATTCTGTTTGGAATCAATGATCCATGTCTGTTTTCATCCTTGGAGTTAAATCCTCTAAATTTTCTTTCTGTGTGATATATAAACCAGCAATACCTCATTTTACTGACATTTGGGGGAAATAAGCTGTTCTACATAATTGGTTTTTGCAGTTAACAGTAGCTTACTCCTTGAAGCATAGAAACTTTTTATGGAATCATATTTCATGAAAAACATTTTTCCATCAAAATCATGACTTTTTTCCCCCGCCTAAGTTAGCGGAATTGAATACAGCAGGTGTTCCCTAGGTGTGGCTGAATGAGTGGCCCCCAACCCGTTTTGATGACTCACAGCCATCTCTGGAAACAGCAGCTCCTGGGCAATTTGCTCAACCTCCCTGACGTCAGTTTCCTCACTCGTAATCTGGGGAACTTTGGATGAGATACTCTCTAAGGGCCGCCTCTGTCCTTCTCTAACTCTGCTGGGCTCTCATACAGTAAAGCCCTTGGGAATTTTTGGTGGTTGCAGGACCAGTCTTGCCTCCCTGAATGGTGGCTGGGATAGGATTCTACTGTCAGCTGTCACTTCTCAGTGCATCCATGTTCAGCAGTCACCATGTCCCCAAGGATCTTAAGCTGTGGCTCTCCAGTCCCCTGGAAGAACAGAAGATGTCTGACCTAAGGTTATAAAGTCTTGTAAATGAAGAACTCCTGGGGTCCCTGCAGACTGAAGTCCCCTGTGTCTTGGCTACTGTTCTCTCAAATGCCCAGGAGGCTATTCACTTACTTCTGGACTGTGATCTGGGTTGTAACGGGTGCTGCAACCGTGGCCTCTAGAGAAGAGGTTTACAATACCTTAATACAAACAGCAAGCACTTGGCAAGCTTCTGTTGACTGCTCTGAACTCAGTGTTGTGGGGAGGGAAGGAGCAGTGAGATGTGGTCACTTCCCGTAAGAAGAAAACCCAAAGGAAGACTTCATGAATGTTTTAAGACCAGCGTGTTAGTGGTCTCTCATTTTGTTCCTTTCATTTGCCCCAAGCATGTCTTTTAAGATTTGAAGAAGACTCTTAATTCTGGCATTTCTGAGATTTGCTGGGATATTAGTTTCCTGCGGCTGCTGTAACAAATTCCCACAAATGGTTGCTTAAAACAACAGAAATTTATTCTCTCACAGTTCTGGAGGCCAGAAGTCTGAAATTGGTATCAATGGGTTGCAATTAAGGGCTGTAGGGCAGCGGTCCTCAACCTTTTTGGGACCAAGGACCAGTTTTGTGGAAGACAGTTTTTCCATGGGCGTGGGGGTAGGGGATAGTTTTGGGATGATCCAAGCGCATTACATTTATTGTGCACTTTATTTCTATTATTATTACATGGTAATGTGTAATGAGATAATTATACAATTCACCATCATGTAGAATCAGTGTGAGGCTTCAGCTTGTTTTTTTGCAACTAGATGGTCCTATCTGGGGGTGATGGGAGACAGTGACAGATCATCAAGACTTAGGGCCTTATAAGGAATGTGCAGCCTAGATCCTTCTCATGTGCAGTTCTCAACAGCATTCTTGCTTCTGTGAGAATCTAACGCAGCTGAAGATCTGACAGGAGGCAGAGCTCAGGTGGTAATGCGAGCGATGGGGAGTGGTTGTAAATACAGACGAAGCTTAGCTGCCTTGCCCTTGCTCAAGCTGCTCATGTCCTGCTGTGTGGCCTCGTTCCTAACAGGCCACAGACTAGTGGTAGTTCCTGGTCTGGGGGTTAGGGACCCCCGCTGTAGGGAAGGATCCTTTCCTTGCCCTTCAGCTTCTCATGGCTGCTGGTATCCCTTGGCTTGTGGCTGCATGGCTCCAATCTCTGCCTCTGTCTCACGCAGCTTTATCCTCTTCTGTCTTGTCAGATTTCCCTCTGCCTGTCTCTTGTAAGGATAACTATGATTACATTTAGAGTCCATCCCGATATGCCATAACAATTTCTCCATCTCAAGACCCTTAATCACGTCAGCAAAGACCCTTTTACACCCATATAAGGTAACATTCACTGGTTCCAGGGATTACAGATATGGATATCTTTTGGGGGGGCATTTTTTTTGAGACGGAGCCTGGCTCTGTAGCCAGGCTGGAGTGCAGTGGCACGATCTCAGTTCACTGCAACCTCTGCCTCCCAGGTTCAAGTGATTCTCCTGCCTCAGCCTCCTGAGTAGTTGCGAATACAGGTGCGCACCACCATGCCCAGCTAATTTTTGTATTTTTGGTAGAGATGGGGTTTCACCATGTTGGCCAGGATGGTCTCGATCTCTTGACCTCGTGATCCACCCACCTCGGCCCCCCAGAGTGCTGAGATTACAGGTGTGAGACACTGCGCCTGGCCCTGGGGGGCTTTTTTAGCTCACCGCACAGAGCTGGTCACCACTTTAACTGTCCATAATTCTGTGGTCTTTAGTCAATTAATTTGTAGTGCACTCCTATTTTGTGCCAGGCAGTCTGTTAAACCCTGGGGATTCTGAGGGAAAAGAATAGTTCCTTCCTCAGACGCTATGAAAATCAGAGCTATGTGGAAAAGAAGGAATCTGGGCCTTAAAGGTATCTAAGATGGATCTTGATGAGCTCAAATTCCCCATCAAAGTCTGCAAGGCCCTGCTTGGTCTAGCTCTCAGCCTCCCCTCTGAGCTCATCCCTACCACTCCCCATCTCATTACTTAAACAAGCTCTGGGCCAGGCGCAGCAGCTCACGCCTGTAATCCCAGCACTTTGGGAGGCCGAGGTGGGTGGATCACCTGAGGTCAGGAGTTCGAGACCAGCCTGGCCAACATGGTAAAACCCATCTCTACTAAAAGTACAAAAATTAGCTGGGCGTGGTGGCGGATGCCTGTAGTCCCAGCTACTTGGGAGGCTGAGGCAGGAGAATCACTTGAACCCGGGAGGCGGAGGTTGCAGTGAGCTGAGATCGCACCACTGCACTCCAGCCAGGGTGACAGAGTAAGACTCCATCTCAAAACAAAACAAAACAAAAACAAAACAAAAAAAAAAAAACAAGCTCTGTCTTGGGACTTTTGCACGTGCCGTTCCCTCTGCCTGAATGTACCCTTCCCCCAAATAACATCTGTCCCCAGAGCTTCCTTCCTCACTTCACTCATTCTGCTCTACTGGATCCTTCTTAGGGAGTCCTTCCCCAAGTACCTGCTTAAAATCCACCTCCCCTCCTGGCACGTCCTGTTCCCTCCCCTGCTTTGTTTGTGCTTCTGATGTACCACAGTGGAGTTGCTATTGTCTGGGTCAGCTCAGCCACCACAAGGATGTTGAGATGTGATAACTAGAAGTTGTCAGAAGATCCTAAACGCATCCTGTTTCATTTCCAATTCTCTTCCTGAGAATGTAGTTTGCTTTTTATTTTCTTTTACTTTTCTTAGTAGCACATTGGGCTTAATTTCAAGTAAATCAGAATGGGGGTGGGATGGCTCTTTAAAGGGGGATGTATACATTCTAGGAGCCATTTTTTGGTTGTCATAATGACTGGTGTATGGTGTGTGTGTTGTGTGTGTCAGGGGTGGGTGGAACTTGCTGGCATTTAGTGGACAGGGGTCAGGGATGCTAAGTGTCCTGTGGTAGCCAGGTCTGTTCTGCCCAGGGAAGAATCTTCCTACCACAATGCCAATACCACCTCTACAGAGAAACACTCTTTTTTTCTTTTTTCTTTTTCTTTTTTTTTTTTTTTTTGAGACAGAGTTTCACTCTTGTCACCCAGGCTGGAGTGCAATGGTGCAATCTCGGCTCACTGCAACCTCCGCCTCCCAGGTTCAAGCGATTCTCCTGCCTCAGCCTCCCAAGTAGCTAGGATTACAGGCATGCGCCACCACACCCGGCTTATTTTGTATTTTTAGTAGAGATATGGTTTCTCCATGTTGGTCAGGCTGGTCTTGAACTCCCGACTTCAGGTGATCTGCCCTCCTCGGCCTCCCAAAGTGCTGGGATTACAGGTGTGAGCCACCTCGCCCGGCCAGTAATATTTTTCTATCATCTTCACTGATAACCTTTCATTCTCTAAGAGTATTTTAAATGATGTCTCCCAGATCCATCACCTGCTAACCTGTTCCCTGGCCCATTCACACAAGGTCTTGAGATTCTCCAGTTCATCCTCTTGCTGTTGCCATCAGTCCAGTGTCATCTCTAAACCTTGAGGTTTCACGAGGGGATTCCCTCCTTCAGAGTCTGTGTAACCGGTAAACAAGCTGAGCCCCAACTCTGGCTCAGAGGCCCCCCACTATTTTCTCCATCTGGAGCAACATCCTTTTCTTTGCACCCTTTGTTCCTTCCTCAAGGCCTGTCTTCCATCCATGACAAAGCCTCCCTACACAGTGACCCATTTTCTTTATTTTAATAGCATTTGGGGTGGAACCTTGTCAAAAGCTTTTTGCAAATGAAAATAAATTACATCTGCTGGTTCCCCCATCCACAGGCATTTTCACCCCTTCAAAGAGCCCTGGTAGATTAAAGGATTTGGAGGATTTGGGGTTTGTATGGGCTTCTATGCCCAGCTCCTGAGTTCTCAGCCAAGACACCTGCAAAGGGGGAGGCCTGAGCTGAAGATACAGATAAACGACGTTGGGGAAATGGATATCTCCAGGAACGCTTCCCACTAGATTGGCCTGCTCCCCATGTTCTAAAGCCTTTTCCAGGACAGTCACATCTCCTGAAATCCTGTCCAGGGACCTGGGATTCCCTGAGTAATCCTCCATGCAGCCTATCAGGTGAGCTGGGCTCTAGATGCCTTGAAATGAAAGACTGTCCCTCGTACTTCTAGGGTAAGAGATCTGGTAGGCAGACCTGAGAATTATACATATGAAAAAAAGCAAAAACAAAACAACTCAAAACCTACTATACATTGAACATCCATCTACTCTCTGCCAGGGTCTTTCCTTTCAGATCCAAGTTTTAAAATCGCCGACCAACCCTATAAAGGTGAATGCAGTGACCCCATTTCACCATGAAAAAAATGGATGCTCAGATGGGCAAGCAACTTGCCCAGAGTCACACCATTAGGAAGTGGCACACTGGAACCAAGGCCTGTCCAAGTCAAGTTCTTTCAATCTGGGAAGGAAACACTATGAATCCAGGCCACTGCTCACCCTCCTGGAGAGGCCAAATCCTCCTGGTCACCTCTGCCTGCTGCAATTCCCAGGCTGTACTACTGGGAGTACTGGGAACTGAGTCATCTAGGGTCTGTCCTCTTAACTGGACCAGAGGTGTTAAGAAGCACAGTCCATCCAGACCACACAGCTCATACTCTTGGTAGACCAGAAGCCCATCCTTCCTCTCAGGGATGATTGAGACCCAGTCAAGCCCATCTTACCCACAGGTTCTGACTAAGAGCTCCAAACTCTGGACCTAGATTATTTTAGTTCACACACTGCTTCTCTACCTACCAGTGATGTGATCTTCAGCAAATTATTTCTCTGTGTCTCAGTTTCCTCCTCCAGTAAAATGGACACAATAATATACCTATCTTACATGGTGTTTATGAAGATTGTGAACTAAGGAATATCAAAGTGCTTAGTAGATGCTTGGCACACAGTAAATGTTACACATAATGCTTGATTTAAAAAGGAAAACTCAGCCAGGCACGGTGGCTCATGCCTGTAATCCTAGCACTTTGGGAGGCCGAGGCAGGTGGATCACTTGAGGTCCGGAGTTCAAGACCAACCTGGCCAATATGGTGAAACCCCATCTCTACTAAAAATATAAATATTAGATGGGTGTGGTGGCGGGTGCCTGTCATCCCAGCTACTTGGGAGGCTGAGGCAGGAGAATTGCTTGAACCCAGGAGGCAGAGGCTGCAATGAGCCAAGATCGTGCCACTGCACTCCAGCCTGGGCATCAGAGTGAGACTCTGTCTCAAATAATAATAATAATAAATACAATTAAAAAATTAAAAGGAAAACCCTTGGTCACACCCAAGACAAAGGCACCCCCGGCCACCCCTTTTCTCCTAAGCCTTTGTTCTCTTCTTGTCCTCCCTCCTCACAAACATTAGCCTGTGCCATCTGGTGCCCCCGTTCCTGGAGTGTACCCTCCCCTGTATCCTCGTCCTCCTCACTGATTGCTCCTCCCACCCTCATGCTCATCCCAGTTGCACTGCAGTCCTTCTCAGAGGTGCTGTCCTTCTTCCAAACCACACATCCCTAAGACCCAGGAGTGGGGCGCTGTTGTCCTCCTCCATTCCCAATGCTCCTTCCCTCTTCATTAAAACAACAACAAAACAAAACAAAACTCCGGGCCGAGCGTGGTGGCTCACACCTGTAATCCCAGCACTTTGGGAGGCCAAGGCGGGCGAATCACCTGAGGTCAGAAGCTCGAGACCAGCCTGGCCAACATAATGAAACCCTGTCTCTACTAAAAATACAAAAAAAATTAGCCAGGCATGGTGGTGGGCGCCTGTAATCCCAGCTACTTGGGAGGCTGAGGCAGGAGAATTGCTTGAACCCAGGAGGCGGAGGTTGCAGTGAGCCGAGATAGTGCCATTGCACTCCAGCCTGGGCGACAAGAGCAAAATTTATCTAAAAAAAAAAGCAAAAACAAAAAAACCCCCACAAAACTCCTGTTCCTTTAAGGCCAGAACCACACGGCTGTCCCACCTTCTACATCTCATCCTTAGAATGACCTCCCAGTCAATTTCACTCTTTTCTTTCTTTGAAGACACCAGCACTGGTCAGTCTTCGTCTCTGCCCCAAACTCTGATGCTGGTTCCAAAGGTCTTTAGAGCCCAGGTGGACAGCCCGTCCAGCACCGTGGCCGTCTCGTCTCTAATCACCCTCCATTCTGCCTCACAGCAGAAGTCCCCCTCTTATTGTCCTCGGAAGGCCTTGTCATCCCCCAGAGCTGTTCCACCTCTGGAATCCTCTAGTTTTGGACCACAACCTCCTCAGTTATTCCCCACCTCATAGTCTTCTCTTTTCTTGAATCCTTTAGCTATCCAACAGAATTTCCTGTGATAAGGGAATTTTTCTTTATTGGTGCTGTCCAAATTAGGGGCAACTAGGCAACTAAGCTCTCCATGTTACTCATTTTTAATTAATTCAAGTTGAAATTGAAGTAGCTACATGTGGTGACTGGCTACCATATTGAACAGCACAGCTCTAGCCCCTGGCCTCTCTGTTTCCTCTTCCATCCTGTCCTGTTTTCCTTCTTTCTTTGGCATTGTCGCCCTGGCCCATCATATCAGCCACCCACTCCCCTTTCCTTCTGTCCCACCTCCTGGAAAACACTCTCAACTTGAGATTAATCCAACTGTCTCTTTCTCTAGGTCTATCCAAAGGCTGCTGGGCGCTGCTGGGGAAGAGGGCATGTGTGTCTCATGGCCTTGCTGGCTGCCATTCTTTCTCATAGATAGTCACAAACTTCAATAGGCCCTTTAATTCTGCCCAGCAAGCATTATCCTCTTCTCTCTAATGACCTCAAGCCTCCAGTGCTCCCAGCTCCTCCCCCATCCTCAGCAGATGGTGTCACTTCCTATTTCATTGAAACAAGAGACACTTGGAGACCACCTGACCACCAGTTTTACAAGCATAGTTTTATCTGTCTTCCACCTCTCTCCTCCTGCTGGCTCCAGTTCCTATCAACATTTAGGCATGGTCAAATAGCCTTATCTTACAAACAACAATAAAAAATCCCAACCTTCCCTCAATCCTATGTCACCTTCCTGCTGTGACCCTCTATCTTTCCTGCCACTTATATTCACACTTTCTTGAAAGTTGTCTACACCTGCTATTTCCACTTTCTCACCTCCCGTTCACTCCACAACCCCAGACAGCCTGGCTTCTGTCCCTACCACTCCCTGCAACCACTAGTCAAGGTCACCAATGACTTCCTTGTAGTTTGATCCAAAGGACTTGTTTCAGATCTTATCTTGACCTTTAAGGCATGTGACTCAACACTGCTCAGCACCCCTCCTTCCTTGCAACGCTCTTACCCATTGGTTTCTATAACACCCGAGTCCCCTGGTTTTCCTCCTCCTCCTCTGGCTACTTAAAAGTTTTCTTGAAACTGCCGCATTCTCCCCCTCCTAGGGTGATCCGTCTGGCTTCACAGGTAAGACAGTGTGCCAGGAACGGTGTTTCCGCCTCTCAACGCATTCCTTGCAGAAACACCTGGTGATTTGCTTTCTCACCCAAAATCTGCACTGTTGCGTTTTGAACTCCAGTTTGCTCTGTGGATCCCGCTGCTTAGAGCCTGACATGCCTTCACGGGTGTGTATTTATCACCGCCACTTTAAGAACTTCTCACGACACTTGGACATCTGTTTTTTTCATTTGTCCCCTCAACAGACAGGCTGCGTTAGGAAAGGACACTGATGAATTAGAAGGGATGGAAGAGGCTGCAGAGTGGTCAGAAAACAATGTCCTATGGGAAATCATTAAGATAACTGGGAACATTTTGCCCAGAAGAGATAAAACTGAGGGATGATAGAGGACTGGTTTCAAGAATCTGAAGAGGCAGAGAACCTTGATCTGGGCTGCTGTGTAGCGTAGGGTTTGGGCCACCTGCAGACTTAACAGAGAGGGGGGTTTGGAATGGACGTAGAGGAGTTCCACCGTATTACAGGAGGTTCTAGACCTCCTGGATACAAGGTGAGTAAGACAGTCCTGCTCACCAGGAACTACTAAAGATGATAAGCGTAGACCTAAGTGACCACAATAAAACTGGAAGGTGACCCCGCTCATCCTCTCCTGAAGACCCCTGGCCTAAGCTCAGCTGGCAATGTAGAAAAGCCACACTCTACCAAGAGCCATTTCAAACTTACTGCCATGCAAGGGCCATCAAAAGCTCTGTGGACATAGGCTGGGCGCGGTGGCTCACTCCTGTAATCCCAGCACTTTGGGAGGCCGAGGCGGGCAGATCACTTGAGGTCAGGAGTTTGAGACCAGTCTGGCCAACATGGTGAAACCCCGTCTCTACTAAAAATACAAAAAAATTAGCCAGGTGTGGTGGTGGGTACCTGTAATCCCAGCTACTTGGGAGGCTGAGGCAGGAGAATCGCTTGAACCCGGGAGGCAGAGGTTGAGAATGCGCCATTGCACTCCAGCCTGGGCAATAGGGCAAGACTCCATCTTAAAAAAAAAAAAAAAAAAAAAGGCTCTGTGGACAGAAACAACATTCAGGAGGAAGGCTTGGAAAGCACTTCTCAATCCAGTCTTGTAGATGCTCCAAAAGGTACCCCAGTCAGCTGAGCACCCCAATTTGCTTCTTTTCCATTCCTCTTTGCTGGAATGTCTTTTCCTGACTTGGGTTTTGATGCGATGCCATCAGCTTACATTCAGGGGGATCACAGAAACTGTCCAACCGAGCTCACTGTTGTGACTGTTTTGGGGATGTTGTCAGGGACGTTTGCTCATTACCCCATACTGTGTTCCCTTTCTGGGCCACGCCCCCACAAGAAATTCCTATCTGATTTTAGTACCAAGAATAGTTGTAATTCCCTTGAGCAGTAGGTCTGTTTTTATCTCATGGACACTGGGAATTGTGTAATGAACATGGTCTCCTCATTTTAGCTGCAGGAAAGCTTAGGGACAAATTTGTGGCCCACTCAGAAGAGGTGTAGAGGTTGGAACTCCAGGGTGCATTGGACCTGTATCCTCCTCTCGACTTTGTCTCCCTTCTTAGCTTTTCTTTGTTCTCTTACTTCATATTTTACTGTGCAAAACTGAGAGCATACAAGCAAAGATAAATAAAAATCACCTGTAATCTCATTATTCCGAGATAACCACTATTAACTGTGTTGTCTTTTTATGCATACTTTTTAAAAAATTAAAATGACATTATACTGTGTGTTTTTAATTTGCTTTTTTCATATTATAATATGTCATGAACATCTTTCCCTGTAATTAAGTGTTCTCTAAATGATTTAAAATTTCTGTATAGATCAAGCGACCTCATACTAACAGCTAACATTTCTATATGCATGTACTATGTGCCTGGTTTTATGCATATTTACATTTGCATACATGAGAAAGCCTATTTATATGTGTTACAGACCTGCAATATGTATGTCTATATCCCATCAGCTATAATATTCAAATGTGTCAACTCACGTGATGCTCACAACCCAGTGGGGTAGAAAGTATTATCTCCCTTGTACAGATGGAGGAAACCAAGGCATAGACTTTCCATAGTCACACAGCAGAGGCAGAATTTGAACCCAGGTACCCTGGCTCCGAAGCGTTTCCTCCTAAGAGCTATGCTGCCTTTCAGTATACCATTGCGATTTCACAGGTCACCATGGTTAACCATTTCATTTATTTCCTTTGACCTCACTTTTAATTTGTTATTGTGTCATATTTTATGTACCCTTGTAAGTTACCTGAAATCCTTTCTGCCACAAGGTGAGGTAAGGCATAAATAAACAGTGCAGAGTGTGGTAAACGGCACAAGAAGGCACAGCTAAATTGCTACCCCGGGGTAAGAAGATGAATCCAGGCTGTCCTGCAATGGAATGGATTTATTTTCTTGAGCTGTGGTGAGCTCCCATCCCTGGAAGAGCTGGCTTGGGTGGCCGTCTCTCTGGGAGGCTGGGGAAGGCCTTCTTCCAAGGAGACGGAGCTGGGCCAGACGAGCCCCGAGGCCCCTTCTTAGATTCTCAGGGTTTATGAAAATGCCAATAAGACAAACTGAGGCACTTAATGGAGCTAATGCAGCAAGGCAGCCCTTGGGCCGGAACCAGGACCTGGGGCTTTTCATCCGGGTCTATTACTGGACCACACATCTACAAGTAACAAATAAACGAGCAGAGATTCCGTTCCAAACTCTCGGCCCAGTGTATTCCTTTCCCAGAGCTCTCTGGCTGCTGTTGCAAGATGACCAAAGGATGCTGTCACTGTCCTCAGTCTTTTTATTGGGGCGATGGAGAATGAGGCAAGGAGGGGCTGGGTGGCCCCGCAGATGCCCCATGACACCATCATTCGGCAAGGTTATGCATTTGACGAATGCCCTGCAGTGGAAGGAGCCCAGGCTTCTCTTCCTGTTTTTGATGTTTACTTGGGGGTTGATCTTGTGCGAGTTTCTTCAGCTCCCGGGACCCTCAGTTTCCTCATCTGCAAAATGGAGTTAATACAACAGCAAAGCTGCTGTGGAGGTCCCATGAGCTATTACAGGGCTTTGCACCCTTAAAAATGCGGTTGAGGAAGTACCGATACGCCTGCCTCAGGGGATCTGGGGAGGGCTGGGCTGTCCCCATGCCTGAGACCAGGCAGGCCCGTCTTGGAGGGGCGGTGGCCAGCGTCCAGGTGCTGCCAGCTTCCTACCCCTTCAGCCTCCTGCCCACCACTGCTCCCTTGGCTAGAACGAAGCCGCGTTCCCGACAGACAGGCTCACGCACGGTGATATCCGTGGGAGTGCGGGCGAGCAGCCCCTCCTCGCCGGACCCCGGGGGCTTCGGGCAAAAATGGAGAGCAGGCAGAGGTCACATCCTCCTCCTCTTCCTCACGCTCCCGGGCTGCGTGCCCACAGGGGCACAGCCCTGTGCGCGGTGCCACCGGGGGCCATCAGGCTGGGTTAGAGGAAGGCCCGACCTCCGCGCAGCAAAGAAAACAAACACAGATGTGTTTGGCTGGGACCGGGAGGGAGAAAGTGGCCCCCTTCCCCCGCCCGCGCGCTCCCCCGGGCGTGAGGCTCTCCGGGCGGCGCGGGGCGCGGGCGAGGCTGACAGTCCCCGGCGGCCCCTCCTCCCCCACGGGGTGCGCGCCTGGCCCGGCCCAGCCCCCTCTCCGGGGTTTCCCCGGGTGCTCTCCTCGCTTTCTCTTTGTCTCTGCTGTTCTTTCTCGGGCTCCCGGGTTCCCACCCGCCTGTGCTCTCCCTCTCGGGCGTCCGGGCCGGTTCCCTTTAACTTTCTTCTTTCCCGGGGTGAAAACTTTGCTCGGAGCTGGCGGCAGCTCGCGGACGTTATTGGCCGGCGCCCCGCCCGGCGGCCCCGCCCCCCGCCCCCGCGCTCCCCTCCGCCCCTCACTCCCAGCGCGAGTGGCGGCGGCGGCGGAGCCTTCGGGGGCGAGCGCGCGTGTGTGTGAGTGCGCGCCGGCCAGCGTGAGTGTGTGTGCGCCCCGGGCGCGGGCAGGGCAGCACTCCGAGCTCGGCGGGAGCGGCGGGAGCCGGGCGGCCGCGTAGTCACTCGGGCGAGAGAGGCGGCGGCGGGGCCGGGACCGGGGCTGGGGCTGGGGCAGCGGCGGCCGCGCCGGGCATGGAGCTGGCAAGCCCGCGCTGAGGCGGGACGCGCCTGCTAGCAGCGAGCGAGAGGCTCTCCGGCGACCGGCGCGCGGGCTCCCCGGAGGGGCCAGGCAAACTTTTCTTTCTCTTTTGCCCCCTCCAGAGGTAAAGTCCCGAACGCGGACTTTCCGGCGGGGACGCGATCGGGGGGCATCTGAGAGGGACCCCGGGCTGCGAGACGAAGGGGCGCGGGCCGTGCAGAGTCGGGGTCCCCCAGCTCTCCTGCGCCCGAAACTTGGGGTGCGAGGGGGGCTGGTCGCGGACGGGGAGACCGGCTCAGGCATGCCCCTCGGGCGGCGTGGGGGCGGCGGTGGCGGGGAAGCAGAGCGTTCTCCCGCCGGGCGGGGAAGAAGGGGCGCGAGCGGTGCGGACTTGGAGGGCCCCGGCTTCGCCGCCCGCGGGACTTTGGGGGAGAGAGGCGGGCAGTCGGCTGCGGGGTGGGTGCCCAGGAAGCCGGGCGTTCTCCCGCATCTCCGCTCGCCACCCCGCCGAGAGCTGGAGGGCGCGGGGCGGGCTGGCTGAGCGCAGCTCCCTTCTCTCCGCAGGCGCCTTCTGCGGCAGGCGGACAGATCCTCGGCGCGGCAGGGCCGGGGCAAGCTGGACGCAGCATGATGCGCGCAGTGTGGGAGGCGCTGGCGGCGCTGGCGGCGGTGGCGTGCCTGGTGGGCGCGGTGCGCGGCGGGCCCGGGCTCAGCATGTTCGCGGGCCAGGCGGCGCAGCCCGATCCCTGCTCGGACGAGAACGGCCACCCGCGCCGCTGCATCCCGGACTTTGTCAATGCGGCCTTCGGCAAGGACGTGCGCGTGTCCAGCACCTGCGGCCGGCCCCCGGCGCGCTACTGCGTGGTGAGCGAGCGCGGCGAGGAGCGGCTGCGCTCGTGCCACCTCTGCAACGCGTCCGACCCCAAGAAGGCGCACCCGCCCGCCTTCCTCACCGACCTCAACAACCCGCACAACCTGACGTGCTGGCAGTCCGAGAACTACCTGCAGTTCCCGCACAACGTCACGCTCACACTGTCCCTCGGCAAGAAGTTCGAAGTGACCTACGTGAGCCTGCAGTTCTGCTCGCCGCGGCCCGAGTCCATGGCCATCTACAAGTCCATGGACTACGGGCGCACGTGGGTGCCCTTCCAGTTCTACTCCACGCAGTGCCGCAAGATGTACAACCGGCCGCACCGCGCGCCCATCACCAAGCAGAACGAGCAGGAGGCCGTGTGCACCGACTCGCACACCGACATGCGCCCGCTCTCGGGCGGCCTCATCGCCTTCAGCACGCTGGACGGGCGGCCCTCGGCGCACGACTTCGACAACTCGCCCGTGCTGCAGGACTGGGTCACGGCCACAGACATCCGCGTGGCCTTCAGCCGCCTGCACACGTTCGGCGACGAGAACGAGGACGACTCGGAGCTGGCGCGCGACTCGTACTTCTACGCGGTGTCCGACCTGCAGGTGGGCGGCCGGTGCAAGTGCAACGGCCACGCGGCCCGCTGCGTGCGCGACCGCGACGACAGCCTGGTGTGCGACTGCAGGCACAACACGGCCGGCCCGGAGTGCGACCGCTGCAAGCCCTTCCACTACGACCGGCCCTGGCAGCGCGCCACAGCCCGCGAAGCCAACGAGTGCGTGGGTGAGTGGGGTGCGGCGGCGGAGCCGGCGGCGGGTGGGGCCGCGGGCGGGAGCTGCTGGGCCTCGCAGCGGCGAGTTCATAGGAGCGCGGGTCGAGGGAACGGCGGGAGGCGCGTTCGCCGATGCCCGGGACCCGGGAGGGCTCAGAGCAGGTCCACTCGCTCGCGTGGCGCTCGTGGTGGACGCCCGAATTTGCGCCCAGTGCTCTCTGCGAAGCCAAGAAGCAGCAGGAGAAATGTTCCCGGGAGGGGGTTTGGCAGAACATTTGCAGATAGGTCTCCGCTAACCCTGGATCCAAACGCAAACATTCATTGCCTTCCCCCTCGTTGGGTTGGACGCTGGGATTCACCTGCACCCACCCCCCTTTCCCAAGGCTGCAGCTGGGCTCGCGGTTGGGGACCCCGGCCCAGTTCCTGGGAAGTTCCAACTCCACACCTACAAATCCCTTGGGAGATGGCAAAGAACTGTTTGTAGTTTGGGGTCAGTTCGGTACCCGACGAGTATCACTCCTGCCCTCCATTTGTCTTTTCATGATTTGAAACTATTTTTGTCTCTCTTTTGAACAGCGTGTTTGTGTTAGCAAAAGAAGAATGATGTGATTTCAATTAATTACTATCTGCTGATTACAACGGAGCGTTCAGTAATTATTTTAAACGAATTCAATTCTGGTCTAAAAAAGTATACCAGATTTTTTTTATTAGCTTCAGGCTTTGGTGAAATTAAACAGTTTTGAATTAACTAAGGGTCCAGCTTCTCACTTTTTAAATAGGGTTTCATTTCCTGAAAGAGAAATCTGACAAAACCGGGTGAATACGGCTGGGTCAGAAATGAAGCTAAAAAAGGATACGTTCTGCTTCTGAATTGGACGACTTTGCTGCTGCAGAAGCTCTCAGAAATCAGTTTCTCCCCATAAAAAGAAAAAAAGGGTGAGGGGAGGTAGCAAGACTACACCTTACTTTTTCAGTATGGGAAGTAAAGCTCCAAAGCCCACATTTATTTGAGCGAAAATTATTTAGTCTGTAAATGTCCCATTTGGTGTGCATCCTTTATGAACGTACAGATTTTTCCTCTCCATCTCCCCATCTCAAACAGCCAGTGTGAGGCTCTTCAATTGCTTTGCCCCTCTTAGGCACATTTCAAAGTTTGCTGGTCCCCACAAACACACGTTTTGAGGTCTGGTTCTGATTAATTGTGTCATGTTGTTGTCGAATAGTTTGTGCCTCATGACTGTGGATGCAGAGTTTTGAGCAAGGGAATGGAAAACATGTCTTGGAGGGCCGGATCGCCGCAGAGGCCCAGTCAGGCGTCCTGGTCTGAAGACGCCGGGCCTCCCGCCTCCTGTTGCAAGGGAGGCCTCCATTTTTACGCTCGTGTCCCGCTCTTGCAGACATAATTGTTTGTCCCCTTTCTTTTAAGGATCAGAACTAGTTTCCAGTCTGAAGACACTTTTCAAGATTTCGCAGAGAGAGAGAGAGTGTAGTTACACTCCGACTTAGTAGTCTTCTAGAATAAAATTCCTTTGATCTGCTCAGTTCCCTCGGAAATGTTGGTTTTTCCCATCTCTTCTTTTCCCCCTCCTTCCTCTTTTCTTTTCTTCCCTTTGTGCGTAAAAGCCCTTTATTGACATTTAAAGGGATTCCCAGGGTTTTGCTATCAGTTTTAGTTTGTATGTGCATATGAAAGATAACTTTGTCTTGTCACCATCAGGGTCTAATTGGACAAATGCAAGTGAATACATTTAGGCGAATAAACTTGATGTGGTGGTGAAATTTCTCTGGCTTGAAGATTTGCCTTAGCGTTGGTATTGTTCAGATTCACCACCCACCCCCAGGTCTTGCCGTCAGTTTGGATGTGGACACGTAACCTGCGTTTGTTATAATGATGGTCATGCACTTGAAATAATCTCTATAGTTTGGGATTTTGTCTCTTGACCAAAGCACTAACTATGCACACAAATTGGATTGACCTTTTTTTTTATTGGCTAAATTGAGCAATCAACATATTAACGAATGTAATTAGTAACCGTTTTTGTTCAAAAAGTTTAATTAGGCTTAATAAGTACATAATCTACATGACAAATGATTGGCTAACAATATTTTTCTGGGTTTTACTGAAGTTATTTTAATTCCCAGTAGTTAAAGTATCTTTAAATCTTGCCAATTATTCAGTCATCTCATAAAAGCAAAGCCAATTCAACTATGTTAAAGTTATTTATAGTTTCCTTTTTGAATAGATGTTCTGATACCTTGTAGATATAGCTGGGAACATCAGATTGAAGTTCCCATAAAGTCTTAATTGAAGTCTTAGTGATTTTTCCATCATTCTGTAAAAGAGAAAGACAGCAAGGACAATTTAGGGGTGATTTACAATTAAAGGTTGAGCTTTTTATGAAAAGGCCCTGTAGTGGAGATATGTGAATGAATTAGTATTTGACAGGTGTTCTGAGATACTAAAGGGCACTGTGCTAGGAAAAAGCATTAATAAATCCTTCAAAAGTAACTTTGGACTATCAGAGGCTCAGATTTTCCTCCCAACATAATCTCTTCTTGCGAATTTCACGCTGTTGACATATAAAGTCAAGCTACCCAGAGTATTTACAACTATGGCAAAGTCAAGAAGTATATATTTTTTAATTCCCATAATCAGTCTTAATAACAATGAGCCTATTACTGTGCTGTTTGGTCTTTGCTTTTATAAAATAATGATATGTGATTTATAATAAATTGAAATGGTACCCTTCCCTAGGTTAACCCTGTGCCCCACCCTCCCGCAAAGAAAACCCCCTAAAATTTACCAATTTACCAATATTATCATTTGACTGAACAGTCCTTCGACATAGGGCCATGGTCCTTATAGATGACTAAGAAATGCACATATCCTATATGTTTTCTTTGGTCCAGTTTTCTTTTCGGTGTTGTTTCAAGGTCAAGCTTTCTATGGAATAAAATGTGAACGTTCATAAAGCCCAGTTATACTTTAAATGCAGTTTTGGATTTCTTCCGGGGGGGGGGAACAAACAACCCTCAAAACAATATGAAAGACAAGACGATGTATAATGTTACGGCCTTGACAGCTCTCAGTGGAATAACTAAATACTTTCTTCCGCCCATATGTATCAGCAGTGTTCACATGCTTTTATACACATGTGCATTCACATTCATTGTGTAAAGAAGTACCCATGCATGGTGGGGCTGTGTGTACATTCAAGGCAAAATGCATGAACAGTTGTAAACCACCTGGGTTGCTAGGCCCCTTCCCCCCTCCCCGCCCTTCCCTTTTTTCAAAAGAGCATCTGAAGACCATATTGTGTTTCATAAATTATCGACATCAGTTTTAATCATTGTCCCCCTGACGTCGGAGCTGTGTTAGTATCTAGTATTTAGCATGACGAAGCATGCTGTTTAATCTTACTGTGGAGTTGTCAGCATGAGCCCCTGCCTGGCTTGTGACAGGTCGAGCTTATGAAAACTTGTTTTGCGACTCACTCTATGGCTTTGCATTGCTCAGCTGTAACCCAAAACCCACACAAAAGGTGTCTCTGCAAGACGAGCACCGTGCTGGGTTGGCCTCTTAATGGTCATAGGTACCTGCAACATAATGCTTGTGATTGTTTAAATGTGGCTGTGGGTTGGGGGTCGGGGGATGTCCTCATGCTGTCAATAGCTCTGGTGCTTGGGTCCACCCTCATTCATCCCTGGCAAGAGAGGGAGGTTATATTGGAGGTGTTGCCATGAGAAATCCAATGCCCCACTAAAGATTCTTGCAAAAATCAGAAAGCTGAAATTATTTGCTGCTTAGTCCAGAGCCTGGCACATAGCTATAGATGAGTGAATGTTTTTAATAGTCATAATAATTATTATGATTATTGTCATTATGATGATTAACCCTGGAGGACTTACTCTTTGCCAAGCGCTCACATTAATTTAGACATTTAATCACCGTGACTACGCTAATAATAGGGACTGTAATTGTACTTCTTTTAGAGATGAGGAAACCATGGCCTAGAGACATTAGATGGTTTACCCTAAGTCACATAGCTACTGGGTGGTGAAGCTGGGACTCCAGCCTGACGTTTGTGCTTTGTTTTGTTGTATCCACTGTGCTGCTTTTCCATAGAATGAATGGATGGGTGGATGGAAGAATGGATGAATGAATGAATGGCAGTGATATATCCATGTGTAGGAGAAAGGCTGGAACAACCTATTGCTTCTTGCTAGAACTGGGCGTGGTTCCCTGGTTGTGTTGCATTATGTATTTTACATCATATTATTATATTTTATTATATTATATTCATACATACTTAACATGAAGTTGTATATAAGAAGTTTTCTTTTATCTTAGCCATCAGGCCTGCTGGGAGCTGGGAGTTGGGACTATGAATTAAGGGGGTTTAGATACTTTCCTGGGGGTTCTTGGCATCCACAGGTGTTGCTTTCTTGGCCAAGTCTTTCTTGATTTCAGGGCCTGTAGTCTCTTTCAAAGGTGGCGAAGCTGAGCTGTGGGTAGTCAGAACCCCTCTTTAAGAAGGCCTTCCTCCAGCCTGGCCAACATCGTGAAACCCCGTCTCTACTAAAGATACAAAAAATTAGCTGGGCATAGTGGCGGGTGCCGGTAATCCTAGCTACTAGGGAGGCTGAGGCAGGAGAATCGCTTGAACCTGGGAGGCGGAGGTTGCAGTGAGCCGAGATCACGCCACTGTACTCCAGCCCTAGTGACAGAGTGAGACTCTGTCTCCAAAAAAAAAGAAGGCCTTCTCTTTTCACCCTAGTGTTCACTATCCCTTTGCTTCACTGGAACGTATTGAAAAAATCCAGAAAGTGGCTGAAACTATTGTTGACAAAGAGAGGAGGTGGATGGGGGATGGTATGTCCCGGCCACTGGTGTGGTGCCGCTAGGTACAGTTGACATGAGTCAGCAGCACAGGGCTGTCATTCATCTCTACTGGCCCCATGGCAGCTGGAGTGAGGTTCTCTGCTGGGGTCCTCATTAGCACCTGGTGATCAGGAACCTCGAGGCAAGGAGGCCGCTCCCTGCTCCACCCAGAGCAGGGAGGCAGGTTCGTCAGGGGAAACCTTCTGGGGTGGGTCTGCGTGTTTCCAGGCTCTGCCGTGCTCTCTATTAGCCCTGCCCAGTTTTCTCTCTGACCTCCTCCTCCTGTAGAAAAATGAGATCCTCAGAAAACTATTTGAGACTTTATGTCCAGAGTAAATATTGGAAAGGCAGTGGGTTGAAATTCAGATGTTCCCTGGAAGGAATCCCCTCGTTTTCTGCTCACAGCTGGTGTCGATATTTCCTTCTTGAGATGAGTTGTGCTTTTCATTAAGTAAATTTTTTGTCTTGGGATTAAACCAACATTGTATTCTTAATAGACTTTCATGTTTACACTTCAAATGTCCACTGGATTGTTACTCATGTTATCTTGATGGCTTCTACGGTGTCTGCAATGCACACTGCCTTTACCAAAATAAATGGCTCTCTAGGGAACTGGATTATAAAACAGCCTTATCTGTGGATGCACAAATACGGATATTTTGTGAGCCAATATTTTTTTTTTCATCCTTTCAGAAGGTGTTAATCATACCTTGGGTTTCTGTAGTGCCTTTCATTATAGGGAGACGGGAGGTCTCGGAGGGCTTTTGAAATGCTCAAGACTTAAGCCTAATACTTGTAGAGCAGGCCCACAGCATTTTGCCTGTTGTCTGGAAGCCCTTGTGGTCTCTGCAGGCTCAGAAGGCATGGTGTTGGTCTGGGTGGCCTGGGAGCTGTGGAGTTTAAAATGTCCGTCCATGGTGGTTGGGGGGTTGCGTCCTGAAGACAGACCACAAACTCCTATTGAGTGCCAGGCATTGTCCTAGGTGCTTTATATGTGCTTTGTTTCAATTAATCAGATTGCCACAAGGAACGGAAGCTTTTCAAAGACAGATGTCCTGGCCATCAAAGGGCAGCTTTTACACAAACGGGACTAAGTGTGGATAAGTCTGCAGGGCACGTCTCGGCTTATTCTGTGACACTGTTGCATGCAGAGAGAGCAGGGGGTATCAGGAGCGTTTGCTTGGAAGACTGATCACATAAAAGCCGTGTCCTATTATAGCCAACTCGGAGGGACGGTTGTTCTGAATAGTACTTGAAAGAAGTGAGCTGCCTGGGCCAGTCCTGTAGATACAGACGTTCACCTCAAAGATATCTGCTCTCATGAGGTTTGACTTGCGTAGCACAACTTAGTGAGCTCAGTATTGCATTCCTGTCTCCTTACTCCAAAAATGGATTTCTATTGTAAACTAAGAAGTAGATTTTAATTTGCGTTTTAAAAGTTATATCATTGGCCGGGCGCGGTGGCTCACGCCTGTAATCCCAGCACTTTGGGAGGTTGAGGCGGGCAGATCATGAGGTCAGGAGATGGAGACCATCCTGGCCAACATGGTGAAACCCCGTGTCTACTAAAAATACAAAAATTAGCTGGGCGTGGTGGCGTGTGCCTGTAATCCCAGCTACTTGGGAGGCCGAGGCAGGAGAATTGCTTGAACCAGGGACTCGGAGGTTGTGATGAGCTGAGATTGCCCCACTGCACTCTAGCCTGGCAACAGAGCGAAACTCCGTCTCAAAAAAAAAAGAAAAAGTTACATAATTTATGTGAATTTCCCCCCACATCAAAAGGCCTTGGCTAGGTGTGTATTCAGCCCCAAATACATTATTTTGTGCCAGTTCTCCCCTCTGATGGAGAGAAGGGACTGTGGCCATGTGATTGATGAGATACAGAATGTCTCCCATCAGACCCTTTTCTTTTTCTCCCAGAGCTTAAGTTCCTGCCCCAAGCACAGTTCTATCAGAGGCAGCTGCTGGCACTCAGAGCACAAAGGAAGATACTCTCCGAGGAGAAAGGGGTACCTATGGTTCAGGAGTACCGCCAAGGAATGGAAAGCTGTGCTCCGCTCTTGCCTGTGTCAGGACCACCCCCAGCAATCCCTGGACCTTCTGTCATTGGGATTAGTGTACTAACTACAGTTAGGGTGAAATGAATTCACACTGCAGTGCATTGGTGCATGTGAAGAAGACCTAGAAGAAAGATGATTCTGTGGCTGGACGCAGTGGCTCACGCCTGTAATCCCAGCACTTTGGGAGGCTGAGGCAGGGGGATCACGAGGTCAGGAGTTCGAAACCAGTCTGGCCAACACAGTGAAACCCCTTCTCTACTAAAAATACAAAAATTAGTCAGGCGTGGTGGCACGTGCCTGTAATCCCAGCTACTTGGGAGGCTGAGGCAGGAGAATTGCTTGAACCCGAGAGGCAGAGGTTGCAGTGAGCCAAGATCACGCCACTGCACTCCAGCCTGGGTGACAGAGCAAGACTCAGAAAAAAAAGAAAAGAAAAAAAAAAGAAAGAAAAGAAAGATGGTTCTGTAAGTGTGGTAGACCTCCGGATTATTTAAAGGGTTCAAGTAAATTTGTTGGGTGAGAACTTTAAAAGCAGAAAGTAACACTCCAGTTCACTTCTCAACTCAGCTAGTGCCTTGCTGAGGAAGGTGCTAGAAGTCTGTCTCCCTGGAGGATTCAGGAATTGGCCTGTGTAAGGTCTCAGCTCGCTGCACACGTGGTCATATTTTAGTTGGGAACCCATCTGTGCCCCCTCCTGGCTGGTGCTATTGCTAGATTTTCTAGATTTTTCCCGTGTCTTTTTCTGCCTGAAGATGAGAGATTATTGGTTGTTGTGTCCAATTTTCACACATCCCAGAGACTCCACACTTAATTGAGACAATCTGTAGGACTACAGGGACCTCTAAAGGGGCTGGCTTTAAATAACTGAGTCCTATGTAAGGAAATGAGGTAGATCTCTGAGTTTCCTGAGGGCCTGTATGCTGTGCTGCATTCCATATTTGAAGTCCCCAAGTGAGGGACACTTCCTGCCTGCTTGATTGCCATTGTCAGGGCTTCTGATTTCGTCTGTTTCTGCTTTGGGGCGGCCGTGGTGAGTACCCAGCAAATAAATGTACCACCACTCCCGCATTCTAAAACCAGGGCAGACATTGGCAATCAACGGCAGCATGCTTTCCTCCTAAGTCGAGAAATGATCTTATAATATTAGACTCCTCAATATAACTCCTTAGGCAGAATTAGCCCATGAGATGAAAACTATCTGCCATTTTTGGTCCCCTTCTGAAGACCTTCCCCTTCCCCAACCTGCAGACAGAGAAGTACTTTGTATACATGGACATTTCTGGAGCATTTACTGTTCAGGTGGCTCTGTTTGGTCTGGGCATGTAAAGAAATGTAAAGTAGACCAGGTGCGGTGGCTCACACCTGTAATCCTAGCACTTTGGGAGGTTGAGGCAGGCAGATTATTTGAGGTCGGGAGTTCGAGACCAGCCTGGCCAACATGGTGAAACCTCATCTCTACTAAAAATACAAAAACAAACAAACAAAAAAAACTAGCCTGGCATGGTGGCCCACACCTGTAATCCTAACTACTCAGAGGTTGAGGCAGGAGAATCTCTTGAACCCGGGAGGCCGAGATTGCAATGAGTCGAGATCGTGCCACTGCACTCCAGCCTGGGTGATAGAGATGGTGTCTCAAAAACAAACAAAAAAAGAAGATAAAAAAAAAAAAGAAAAGAAATGTAAAGTGGATGCCCTCCCTGCAGGTGAAATATGTTTCCATCAAGGAGGCTGTGCACGTGAGAAGGTGCAGACGTGTCCACTTGCACTAACCCTGAACAGGGATAGGCGCCCCCAGTGAGGCACTTTGCTGAGTGTCCGGGGTGCAGGGAGGGGCCGAGGGTCTTGAGAGGAAGAGCATTTTGGATTTGGCTCCTGTACCACGAAAGGATTGGATTTTAGTCCACATCACATTTGCCTGCTGCATTGGTTCTGTTGTAGTGTATTTGTTTTCTCCCATGCCAAGAATTTGAGAGACCATGGTTCCCTGAAAAGAGTGGTCCCCCAAGGAATGTCCGCCCCGACGTTTCTGGGCAGGTCCTCCAGAACTGCCTTGGATTTTGAAACAAAAGCTTATCACTGTCCCTACACTCAAAAGAAATTATGCCCCAACCTGGGCCAGGACCCTGGTGCCTGAGGCTTCCTGGGGCTTCTCCCACGTGAAGGTCGTTCCTTCCACTCAGAACCACATCTGTGTGGTATTGAGGGACGAGGACTCATCTCCGTCACAAACCACTGCCCTCAGTGCTCTGCTTACGTTTGGGCTGGTGCAGAAAGTGCCGAACAAGAATAGTTCCAATCCCAGCATGAAAAAGAAAACACATTGTGTTTACAGATACAGAATTTGGCATCTGAAACGTGAAAGTACCTTTGGGTTGGGCGGCCCCAGGGCAGAGCTGTTGGACACGGCCCCCCCAGCCCCTACCCTCAGCCCTTTGGCCAGCTCGTTTTCCTCTCCCCGAAGCCAGACCTCAGAGGTGGGCAGGTCGATCTCAGCCAACTCTTTATTCCGACACCCAGCCCTGTTTCACTCTATGGCTCAGAACCGGGAGAGAATTCACGGTGAGAAAGTGCTTGGCCTTCTGAGCTGCCATGAGGAAGGAAACTGCTTCTTGCTCCAATCCACAGAAATCAATCCTTTTTTTTTTTTTTTTGACAGAATCTCACTCTGTCATCGAGGCTGGAGTGCAATGGCACCGTGTCAGCTCACTGCAACCTCTGTTTCCTGGGTTCAAGTGATTCTTCTGTCTCAGCCTCCTGAGTAGCTGGGATTACAGGCACCCACCATCACGCCCAGCTAGTTTTTATATTTTTAGTAGAGATGGGGTTTCACCATGTTGGCCAGGCTCGTCTCGAACTCCTGACCTTAGGTGATCCACCCTCCTTGGCCTCCAAAAGTGCTGGGATTATAGGTGTGAGCCACCGTGCCCGGCCCAATCCTTTTTAAACCATGTTTTTGGGCAGACTTGCCATCCTGGTACCCAGAAATGCTAGAGAAGAATGGGGCTGAACAGTCCTATTTCTTACCTCAGTTTATTGTTTGAACCAGGGGTAGAGAGGTTGTTTGTTTGTTTGTTTGTTTTAATAGAAGATGTCTGCAGAAGAAGTGAGGCATATGTAAGTGAGAATCAAGTTGCGATTTTCCTGATCTGTAGAAAGTACTTAGTTCTGGCCAGGCACAGCAGCTCACACCAGTAATCCCAGCACTTTGGGAGGCTGAGACGGGAGGATTGCTTGAGCCTGGGAGTTTGAGATCAGACTGGGCAGCATAGCGAGACTGCCGTCTCTACAAAAATAAAAAAGAAAGTACTTAGTTGGCTGGGCATGGTGGCTCACGCCTGTAATCCCAGCACTTCGGGAGGCCGAGGCAGGCGGATCACCTGAGGTTGGGAGTTCGAGACCAGCCAGACCAACATGGAGAAACCCCGTCTCTACTAAAAATACAAAATTAGCCGGGCGTGGTGGCACGTGCCTGTAATCCCAGCTACTTGGGAGGCTGAGGCAGGAGAATTACTTGAATCTGGGAGGCGGAGGTTGCAGTGAGCAGAGATCACACCATTGCATTCCAGCCTGGGCAACAAGAGCGAAACTCTGTCTCAAAAAAAAAAAAAAAAAGAAAAAGAAAAGAAAGAAAGTACTTAGTTACTTAGTTTTAAGTCAAGATCAGAGAGCACAACATTCTATCTACTAAAGTGTGAAATACCAAGATACATGTATTAGGGACAATGGTGAGAGAACACCCGTCTTTGACTTCAGACTGGCTGGGTTTAAATTCCAGTTCCACCAGGAGTGTGGACTTGGGTAAATTAAGCTGTCTGTGCCTTTGATGCCTTGGTGTCCTGGGGGCCCAGCTCAAGACCACCTTGATAGATTGGATAGGGTGGGGAGTGTGAGGAGCCCTGTGTTCTGCCTTGAAAGAGGGCTCAGAGGAGGGGTACAGGAAGGAGACCCAGAGGTAGGGTTCTGATCCTAGACCTTGGGATTTTATCAGCACACATTTCTATAGCCTTTATTATCACCATGTACTGTTCTAAGCCCTTTATAAGTATTACCTCATTTAATCCTCATAGCGGCCCTATCAGGGCTTGTTATTCTTTTTTTTTTTCTTTTTCTTTTTTTTTAAGATAGAGTCTTGCTCTGTCACCCAGGCTGGAGTGCAGTGGTACGATCTCAGCTCACTACAGCCTCCGCCTCTCAGATTCAAGATATTCTCCTACCTCAGCCTCCCGAGTAGCTGAGATTACAGGCGTGCACCACCAAGACCAGCTAATTTTTGTATTTTTAGTGGAGACGGGGTTTCACCATGCTGGCCAGGCTGGTCTCGAACTCTTGACCTCAGGTGATCCACCCACCTCAGCCTCCCAAAGTGCTGGGATTACAGGGGTGAGCCACTGCGCCTGGCCTTGTTATTCTTAAGTAAACTTCTTTATTGTAGTGTAACACATGTAGAGAAAATCCCATGAATTATGTGTCCAGTGCAAAGACTATTCATGATATGCACACGCTTGTATAACCAGCACCCGCATCAAGAACATACCAGCAACCCAGAAGCTGACCTGTGCGTCCACCCAGTTACCACGCCCCCTACCCACCATACATGGGTTTTGATTATTTTTGTTTATTTTTTATTTATTTGTTATTTTTTGAGACGGAGTTTCGCTCTGTCGCCCAGGCTGGAGTGCAGTGGCGTGATCGCGGCTCGCTGCAAGCTCCGCCTCCCAGGTTCATGCCATTCTCCTGCCTCAGTCTCCCGAGTAGCTGGGACTACAGGCGCCCGCCACCACACCCGGCTAATTTTTTGTATTTTTAGTAGAGACGGGGTTTCACTGTGTTAGCCAGGATGGTCTCGATCTCCTGACCTTGTGATCCGCCCGCCTCAGCCTCCCAAAGTGCTGGGATTACAGGCATGAGCCACCGTGCCCAGACGGGTTTTGATTATTTTTGAACTTGGTATAAATGGAATCATATTCTGGCTTCTTTTGCTCCATGTTACATTTGTGGTCTTCATCCATGTATAGTAGTAGTTTCTTAGTTTCCATTGCTGGCCAGTATTGTGTGATATAAATGTATCACAGGGTATTTCTCCACTCCACTTACGGCAGGCATTTGGGCTGTTCCCAGGTTTTGGCTATTAACAGTAGCACTGCTGTGACCATACTTGTCCATGTCTTTTGATGCACATCTGAATGCACTTCTGCTGGGTGTGTATCAAGAAGGGGAATTGCTGGGTCCTAGGGTTTGGGCATCTGTTCAATTTCACTTTTATTTTTAACATTTTTTGAGACAAGGTCTCTGTCACCCAGCCTCCTGTCATCCAGCTTTCTGAGCTCAGGCGATCCTCCTGCTTCAGCCTCCTGAGTAGCTGGGATCACAGGTGCACATCACCGCACTTGGGTATTTAAAAAAAATTATTTGTAGAGGGTTGGGCATGGTGGATCATGCCTATCATCCCAGCACTTTGGGAGGCTGAGGCAGGTGGATCACTTGAGGTCAGGAGTTCAAAACCAGCCTGGCCAACATATTGAAACCCCATCTCTACTAAAAATACAAAAATTAGCCGGGTATGGTGGTGCACGCCTGTAATCCTAGCTACTTGGGAAGCTGAGGCATGAGAATTGCCTGAACCTGGGAGGCGGAGGTTGCAGTGAGCCAAGATGGTGCCACTGCACTCCAGCCTGAGCAATAGAGCAAGGCTCTATCTCAAAAAAGAAAAAATTATTTGTAGAGACGGGGGTCTCACTATGTTACCCAGGCTGGTCTTGAATTCTTGGGCTCAAGGGATCCTTCCTTCTCAGACTCCCAGGGTGCTGGGATTACAGGCGTGAGCCACCATGGCTGGCCTGTTCAGCTTTAATAGACAGTGGTTAAACTCTCTATTTAGTGGAAAGTGGTTGTACAAATTTATATCTGTATACAGTTTTACAGGCAAAGAAACTGAGGCACATGGAGGTTAGTTAAGGTGCCTGAGGTCACACAGCTAGCAGGTGGCAGAACTGGAATTGGAATCCAGGCAGTGCAGCTCTGGAGGCTTGCTTTTCACCACTGGGCCAAGTCGTCTCTTATCTTTTTTTTTTTTTTTTTTTTTTTTTTTGTAGAGACAGGGTCTCGCTCTGTCATCCAGTCTAGAGCACAGTGGTGCAATCACGTCTCACTGCAGCCTTGAACTTCTGGGTTCAAGCAATCCTCCTGCCTCAGCCTCTCAGAGTGCTTAGATTACAGGCATGAGTCACCTGCTTGGCCTGCCACTTATCTTTAATCTGCATACTCCCTGACAGGAAAACTAGTAATACTGGGAAGCAAAGGTGACTTTGTACAAGTGTCTTTACTTCTCTGGGCCTCAGTTCTCTCCTGTAAAACGAGGGGTTGGGTCACAAAGGTCATGTAATGATATTCTGTAGGTCTAGTGGAATATACTGCCTTCCTGAGGACTTCTTCAGTCTTCCTTAACGAACTCACCCCATTCCCTGCTCAACCAGAAGCAGCTCTATAACTTGAATGATACATTTTCCAACCCTACCCCTCCACTGGGGTTCCCTCAAAGGACTGCTCAGGCTCTAACTGGAGGACCTCACTTGGGCCTACCCTCCAACCCTACTGACAATTTCCCCACCTCCCACTCTCCAGCTCTTCCACTTGCAGGGGTGGGGACATGGGACTCTCCCTCTTTGCCTTCCAGTGTGTTCGCTAGCTGGTCTTCTCTCTTTAAATCATGAGTGTTCAGGTGTATGAATTTTCACAAAGTGAGCTCACCTCTGTGTCTACCACTAACATGAAGAAATACAGTATTTCCAGAAGGCTCCTCCCAACCCCCCAGGGTAACCACCATTTTGACTTCCAACACAATAGATTTAATTTGCCTATTTTTGAACTTTATGTAATTGAAATCATACTGTATGTTCTCTTCAATATCTGGTTTCTTTTGCTCAGCCTTATTTCCTTGTAAATAGTCTTAAACATAACTTTTCCTATAGTCTTTGTTAGTTTGATGGATGATCTCAACTTCTTGGGGATACTGATCCTCTCGCTTATTTTGTCTGCTGACCTTTGCTCATGGTGAATGATTTCCTTATGTGTTTTGTACTTTCTGACTGTGAGCTTATCTTTATTTGGGATTTCGTGGAAATCCCACTGCTGTTAGTTATGGAAATGCCCCTATCCATATGATTTTGCATTAATTCTGCCAGACATTCTAGAGGTATCACTGGACTAGGACCAAATTTTCCATTAATTAATCATCTTGAAAATTATTATATCAAATGAGGAGTATGTACTTGGCCTCTAAACCTTCCCAGGCCTGGGGTTTATTTTTCTCCCTCACTGAGGACTTTTTCTGCCTTTACCCAGAACTCTAGGTAGAGACAAATTTTTGCTGTCACCTTAGCCCGATGGACAAAGCTTCTTCGTCCCCTTTTGACCCAGGGGGCATTTGGAAGGTCCAGGTTTTTCTGCTACTGCGATTACAGCTGCAGTTTCCTAGCTGGTCTCCCTTCCTTTATCTTTGTCCCTCAGCCTCCCTGGTCTCTTCTTAACACAGCAGCCAGAGGTAACTGCCTGTGTGTTAGTTCCCTGTTCACTCAGAGGAACACCCAGAACACTTACAACGGTTGCAAAGCCCTGTGTGGTCTGGCCCCTGCTTCCTCTCTATTCTCATCTCCTGGCACTTTGCTGCTCACTCAGTCTGTTCCAGCTCCCAGGCCTCCTTGCTGTTAGTGGGTACACAGCTTATAGCCCTGGTACAGCAGCTGAGTCTGGGCTTGAGATAGGCCCAAATATGCAAATAAATGACTCCCTAGGTTCCTTCAAGTCTTTGGTCAAATATCACTTCTGTGAGGCTTACCCGGACTATTCTATTTATACTGCAAACAGCTCCCCTATTTGTGTCTATCGGACTCTCTCTCTCTGTGTCTCTCTCTCTTTCTCTGTCTTCTCCTCTCTTTCTCTCTCTCCACACACACACACACCTGAGATCACCCTTATCCTCCCCTACTAACTCCTTTTCCCCATAACACTCATACCACCTAAGACACTATTTAATTTACTTATTTATTATGTTCTTAATTGTTTTCCCCTCCTCCCATTTGTTCCTTTCTATCACTTGTTGGAATGTTAAGGTACATAAGGTCAGGAATTCTCTTTTATTCACAGGGGGCCTGGCATAAGTAGGTGCTTATTAAATATTTGATAAAGAAAGCAGGGGTCCCATTTGCAACTCCTGGGCTTGCAAGACCTGAGGCCTTATCTCCGGTCTGTGTGTGGGTGCTAAATCCTAAGCTCAAGGCATTAAAGCCTGTTTCCAGGTCTAATAATCAGTCAGTCTTTCCCCTTTCTCTATCCTCCCTGCTGTTCCCTCCCTCCTCCCACACACCTCATGATCACTGGGGTCTCAGGGTTTCTCTTAACACTTTGGCTTTCAGATTTTTCTTTCCTCTAGCACCTGGGGATTTCCTTTTATTTCTTATGAGATCTGCTATTCATTAAATTTTTTTAAACTTACATTTCATCTAGTATTTCTAGATGCTTGCAGTGGTAGGGGTTCTGCATTACCTCAGTCCACCTTGTTGCCAGAACTCGAAGTAATATATTTTAATCTTTCACACATCTGGAATTAATCGTGACATATGGTGTGAGGTAAGGATATCCATTTTTTCATCAAATATTTAGCCAGTTATTCAGTGACAACTATTGAGAAACATCATTTTTTGTCACTGATTTGAGATGCCATATTTATTAAATGCTTAAGTATTATATAAACTTGGATCTGTTCTCTGGATTTTTCCATTTTGTTTCACAAATCTGTTTTCCTGCCACTTTCTATCTGTTTGGATATTTCAGTATCTGGTAGGTTCAGTATTCACTCATTATTCATCTGTTCATTTTCACTTATTCTCATTGCTATTCTTGCTTGCTTGTTTCTTTATATATTTATTTATTGGCTTTAGATGAGTTTGTCAAGTTTCATTACAAATGCCATTAGTAATTTGACAGCAGTGTTGTTAAAATGAACTTGGTGATAGTTGAAAACATTGTAACTGTATCAACATGTCTCTTGTATGTAATGATTTGATTATTTAAATGTACCCAATAGGGCTTTTAGGATATCAGAAAAGTAGGTTTTAAGTCTGGTCAAAATCATGAATTGTACTTATGTGTTTCTCTTTGATTCTTCCAGATGATTTTTTTTTACAGATTTATTGAGATATAATTGTTCAGTAAATTGCACATATATAAAAAGTATAACTTGGTAAGTTTGACTTATGTATACACCTGTGAAACCATCACCACAATCAAGATAAATAACATATCCATCAGCCCAAAATGTTCCTGCTGTCTTGGTAATCCCTCCTGCCCCTTTCCACCATGGTGCCTTCTGTCATTGTATATCTGTTTGCCTTTTCTAGAGTTTTGTGTAAATGGAATCATACGGTACGTGTGGTCTGGTTTCTTTCACCTTCCATGCTTAGTTGGATTATTTATTCATCCATCATGTTAAGTGCATTAATAGTTCAATCCTTTTTATTTCTGGGGGGGTATTCATTGTATTGCTATACCACAATTTTTCCATTCACCTGCTGATGGGCATTTAGCTTGTTTCTAGTTTTTGGCTATTACAGGTAAAGCAGCTATGAACATTCTTTTAGAAGTCTTTGCATGGACATACACTTTCATCTCTCTTGGGCAAATACCTAAGAGTGGATTGGCTGGATGATACAGTAGGTGTAGGTCTAACTTTTAATAAACTGTCAAACTATTTTCCAAAATGGTAGTACCACTTTACATCTATATCTGCAGTGTATGAGAGTTCTAGTTTCTCCAGTCCATTTCCTCATCAGCATTTGATATGGCCAATCTTTTAGAAATTTTAGCCATTCCAATAGATGTGTGGTAGATACCCTTCCAATTTTAAGTTTTACAATTTGGAAGTATAGAACATCTACATTTATTTATGTCTTCTTTTATGCTATTCAGTAAGGTTCATAAATTTCTTTATATTAGCATCACACATTTTTTCAGAAGAGTTTACTTCTATGTATTTATAATTTTGATTACTATTATGAAAGGGATTTTTTCCTTCTCATTTTATTTTCTAAGTGGGTATTACAATGTATAGAAAAGCTATGAACTATATATACATTTTTATGTATTTTGCAACCTTCAGCTTTACTAAACTCTTTTTAATTCGTTCTCACAGTGTTTCAGTTTCTCTGGACTTCAACTATATATATGAATATTTTAGCCCTTCTTTTCCAATACTTGTACTATTTATTTTTCTTGTCTTACTGCATTGGATAGAATGTCAAAGTAATGGTATATATAATAATGGTAATGTACTCTTGTATTACTACTGATTTAAGTGAGCACATTTCTAGAGTTTCATTGTTAAATATGTTGTTTGTTGCTAGTTTCATATGGATGTTCTTTATTGTACTCAATGGAGAGACCTCTATTCCTGACTTACTGGGAGGGTTGCTCTTTCTTACTTTTTTTTTTGTTTGTTTTTTTGTTGGAGAGATAAGGTCTTGATTGGTTGCCCAGGCTGGAGTGCAGTAGCATGATCAATCATAGCTCATTGCAGCCTCAACCTCCTGGGCTAAAGCAATCCTCCTACCTCACACTCTTGAGTAGCTGAGACTATGGGTGTGCACCATGCCCAGCTAATTTTTTAAAGAAATTTTTGTAGAGATGAGGTCTTGCTGTGTTGCCCAAGCTGATCTTAAACTCCTGGGTTCAAGTGATCCTCCTGCCTGAGACTCCCAAACTGTGCTCTTTTTTTAAAAAATATTCAAGAATATGTAGAATGTTAATCCTTTAGATATTAATCAAAATGATCATATCATTTTTCTGCTTTGACTATTAATGTAATGCATTTCTTTAATTGATTTCTGAGGTATAATTCACATGTCATACAATTCACCCATGGAAAGTGGTTTTTAGTATGTTCGTCGATTGGTACAACCATAACTGAAACTAATCCTATAACATTTTTGTCATCCCCAAAAGGAGCTTTCTACGAATTAGCAGTCACTTTCCATCCTTCACCCTGATCTGCACCCACACCCTAAGTAGGCTTTTGATCTTTACAGATTTGCCTATTCTGGACATTTCATATAAATAGAATCACGTAACATATGGCCTTTTGTGACTGACGTCTTTCAATTAGCATAATGTTTTCATGGTTCATCCATGTTATAGCAGTACTTCATTTCCTTTTAATGGCTGAATTCCATTATGTAAACATATCAAATTTTGATTCATTCATCAGTTGATGGACATTTGAGTTGTGTCCATTTTTTGGCTCTTATGAATAATGCTGCTATGAGCATTGGTTTACAGGTTTTTGTGTGGACATCTGCTTTCTCTGGGGTATCTACCTAGCAGTGGAATTGTTGGGTTATAAGACAACTATCTCATCCAGGTGCGGTGGCTCATGCCTGTAATCTCAGCACTTTGGGAGGCGGAGGCGGGTGGATCACTGGAGGTCAGGAGTTCGAGACCAGCCTGGCCAACGTGGTGAAACTTCGTCTCTACTAAAAATATAAAAATTAGCCAGGTGTGGTGGTACACATCTGTAGTCCCAGCCACTCGGGAGGCTGAGGCATGAGAATTGCTTGAATCCGGGAGGTGGAGGTTGCTGTGAGCTGAGATTGGGCCATTGCACTCCAGCCTGGGCGACAGAGTGGGACTCTGTCAAAAAGAAAAAAAAAAAAAAGACAACTAACTGTGTTTAACTTTTTGAGGAATGCCAGATTGGTTTTCAGGCAGTTATACTGTTCCTAGGACCCTAGAACCCACCAGCAACATATGGGGATCCTAGTTTCTCCATACCCTTGAAAACACTTACTATCTATCATTTTGATTATAGCCATTCTGGTGGGTGTGAAGGGGTATCTTGTTGTGCTTGTGTGATTTCCTAAGTTTGAAATATTCCAGCATTCTTGGAATGTATCTATTTGGTGATGTGTTATTCTTTACTAACATTTTATTTTAGATTTTTATGCCTATATTCAAAAGTGAGATTTGAGCTGGGTGTGATGGCGCGCCTCTCTAGTCTCAGTTCTCGAGAGGCTGAGGCAGGAAGATTGCACGAGCGAGGGGTTTGAGGCTATAATGCGCTATGACTGCACCTGTGAATAGCCACTGTACTCCACAACATAGTGAGACTCTGTCCCTTAAAAAAAAAAAAACTGTGAGGCTGGCGCGGTGGCTCACGCCTGTAATCCCACCACTTTGGGAGGCCGAGGCGGGCAGATCATGAGGTCAGGAATTCAAGACCAGCCTGACCAACATGGTGAAACCCCGTCTCCACTAAAAATACAAAAATTAGCTGGGTGTGGTGGCGTGCTCCTGCAGTCCCAGCTACTCAGGAGGCTGAGGCAGAAGAATCACTTGAACCCAGGAGGCAGAGGTTGCAGTGAGCCGAGATTGCGCCACTGCACTCCAGACTGGGCGATAGTGCGAGACTCCATCTCAAAAAAAAAAAAAAAGTGAGATTTGTCTGACCTTTTGTCACTTTATATTGCCTTTTGTATCAAGGCTGTTTTAACCTTATAAAATGAAGTGGGAAGTTTCCATTCTATTTTATGCTCTGGAATAGTTTAAGTAACATGAGAAATAGCTGGTCCTTGAAGGTTTGTTAGAATTAGCCCATCTGAGCCCTGTGTCATTTTTGAAAGTAGTTATTTGACAACCATTTCAATTTCTTCCATACTTATGTGTTTATTCAGAAATTTTTCAACTGCTTTTTGAGTCAAATCTGGTAATTTGTTTTTTTTTAAAAATCATTTACCCAGATTTTCATTTTTCAAGCATAGGATTCTATATAATAATCACTAAAATATTTTTTAATGTTCATATATGGCTATATCACCTTTCTAATTGCTAATAGCAAACATTTTTTCTCACTCTCTCTTTGCCTAGGTTTGTTTGCTTTTTGTACATTTGTGAAAGTGATAATAATAACATTTGATCATATTTAATGAACACTCACTGTGTCCTAGACCCTATGCTAAATATTTTGGATGCACTTTCTAATTTAAAAAATCTATAACACTGTGAATTGAGCAAAATTATTCCCATTTTACATATAGTTGAGTAGTTAAGAAATTTAGCTTGCCCAGAGTCACAGAGCTGCAAAACCCAGGGCCGGAATTAAAAAGGATCTGTCAGTTTTCAAAGCGGGTTCTTTTATCCACTATTCCAGACTGCTGCTTATTTTTAAATGCTTTTTTATCATCTTCTAATTGTCTCTCTAATCTCTCTCTTTTTTTTTTTTGGTTGAGATGGAGTTTCCCTCTTGTTGCCCAGGCTGGAATGCAATGGCGCGATCTTGGCTCACCACAACCTCCACCTCCCGGGTTCAAGCAATTCTTTCTGCTGCCTCAGCCTCCTGAGTAGCTGGGATTACAGGCATGTGTCACCACGCCTGGCTAATTTTGTGTTTTTAGTAGAGACGGGGTTTCACCATGTTGGTCAGGCTGGTCTCAAACTCCGGACCTCAGGTGATCCACCCGCCTCGGCTTCTGAAAGTGCTGGGATTACAGGCGTGAACCACTGCACCTGGCATCATCTTGTAATTCTCTTAATTTTTTTATCTTTATTAATTTCTTACCTAGGCTTCTCTGTGGTTATCCTAATTTTTTGAGTTGAATGCTCAGTTCAACTAACATTATTTTCTTATTCCTGTTGAGCATTAAAACTAAGTTAATGACTTTTCCTCTCTAGAGTAGCGTTGACCACTTCCCATAGGTTTTGATTTGTGCTGCTCTCATTGTCACTGTTTTTACAATGACTGTGTCATTGTAGTTTTGATATTCCTTTTGTTCCTGGAGTTATTTATGAATTGGGTTTTCATCTCCAGGAGGTTATATCCTTTAAAATATTTTTTTAAATGTCCAATTTTTTTTGCTGTTTCCGGTACTTTTTTTTTTTCCTTTTTGGGGCGGAGTCTCACTCTGCGGCCCAGGCTGGAGTGCAATGGCGCGATCTCGGCTCACTGCAACCTCCGCCTCCCAAGTTCAAGCTATTCTCCTGCCTCAGCCTCCCAAATAGCTGGGACTACAGGTGTGTGCCACCATGCCTGGCTAGTTTTTGTATTTTTAGTAGAGACGGGGTTTCACCGTGTTGGCCAGGCTGGTCTCGAACTCCTGACCTCAGGTGATCCCACCTGCCTCAGCCTCCCAAAGTGCAGGCATTATAGACATGAGCCACCACACCCCAGCCTCTGGCATGTTTTTTAGTTTGGTTTTTGTTTGTTTTTTAGAATAATCTCATGTGTATGTAAGATCACCTCTTGTCAGTGTTCCGCAGGAATTGAAGAGGAATCCTGTTTGTAGGGCACAATGTTTATATTTATTGACTCAATCTAATTGGGATTTTATTCTCCAGATACTCTATATTCTTGTTTTCCTTTTTGCCTGCTTGGGGCAAAAAAAAATATTCATGGAAGTCTTTAACATGTAACTCGATCTTCCACAGATTAAGTGACAAAGTCATTCAACTTCTTAAATATTAACATGTGCAAAAGTACATAAGGCAAATTAGCACAGAGTAAAAGCGGGGGGTCACAAAACAGTATGCGAAAAGTAGAATTCAGAGCAGAGTACATTATACACAAAGCTAGGTTAATTTGTACAGATACAGGAAAAAAATGCACTGTCATTAACTTGAATGGATTATGACCCCGGCCTCGGACTCCTCCTTGGTACACAGGGGAAGTTGGCCTCTCAGTTCTTTCCCGTGCTCACACTCTAGGATGGTGGTTTTGGGGTTCACTACTAAGTGCTGCCAGGGATGGAATTAACTGGGAATAGGATTAGAAGCAAAGAAGAGGCCAGAATGATTCCTAGCCTGAAGCTGGAGCAGTTTGAGCCGACAGCTGGGGCTGAGTTTATTGCTTTGGCTCACTCCCGTCTGTACATGAGCATCTGCCTCATTGCCTTTTGGCCTGGCAAAGGGGATTTGCTGAAATAGAAATCAGTCTGCAAGGAAAGGATGGTGAGGCCACAGCGACTCACTGACATGGGGTGCCACCTCCCGTCATGAAATATGACCCCAAATGGCTTGGTTTGGCTGTGGGATATGCCAACACCACCCCCGGGAGCTCTCAGCTCTGTGGAAGAGCATTTCCATAGGCAGCTTCCTACAGAAACGGGCAGGCGACCCAGCTTCACGCCTGCCTCCATTTCTCCTTATCCTTCTGCCAAGGGGTGATTAATTCATGGAAGAAAGATGGGATGCTAAAGAGAGGAGTGTGTTTCACAGAATACCAGAACCATGAGAAAGGCTGAAAATTAATGAGCTAAGTATCTAATTTAAGAAGTTAGAAAAAAATTAATAGAATAAGCCAGAAAAGGAGATGGGGGCAGGGAAGGAGAGATAAAAATAAGAGCAGAAGTCAATGAGCCAGAAAACAAATATTCAGCAGAGAAGATCAACCCAAGCCAAAAGTTGATTGTTTGGAAGGACTAATAAAATAAACAAATATCTGGAAAGATTGGTCAAGAAAAAGAGGAGGCACAAATGAATAACATTAGGAATGAAAAAGAGACATAACTAGAGATCCATCAGAGACTTAAAAAAAGTAAGGTAATGTGATAAACAACTGTATGCTACTAAATTTTCTAAGTGTCATTTCCGTATCATCATTAGCAAACCCCTGGAGAATTTCAACAGAGTGGTCCATAGACCACTTGAATCAAATTCTTAGGTGGAATCAAAGAAAAAACATAAATTGGACTTTATCAAAATTTAAAACTTGTGCTTCAAAGATACAATCAAGAAAATGAAAAGACAACCCATGGGATGGGGGAAAATATTTGTAAATCACGTGTGATGAAGGTGTAGAATGTGTAAGGAATATGTAATAAATCTTAGAACTCAACAACAAAAGACAACCCAGTTTAGAAACGGGCAAAGAACTTCAGTGGATGTTTTTCCACAGAAGATACACAAATGGCCAGTAAGCACATTAAAAGATGCACTAAATCATTAGCCATCAGGGAACTATAAATCAAAACCACAATGAGATACCACTTTACATTCACTAGGATGGCTATACTTGAAAAGAAAGGTAATAACAAGTGTTGGTAAGGCCATGGAGAAATTGAAACCCTCATGTACTGCTGGTGGGAATGTAAAATGATATGGCTACTTTTGAAAATAATCCCTTCCGAAACCCCCCAAATAAGAGTCCAGGCATGGTGGCTCATGCCTACGATCCCGGTACTTCGGGAGGCCAAGGTGGAAGGATTGCTTGAGCCCAGGAGTTCAAGACCAGCCTGGGCAACATGGCGAAACCCTGTCTCTACCAAAAAGATGAAAATTAGCTGGGCACGGTGGTATGTGCTTGTAGTTTCAGCTACTAGAGAGGCTCAGGCAGGAGGATCGCTTGAGCCCAGGAGGTCGAGTTACAGTAAGCTGAGATTGTGCTACTGCACTCCAGCCTGGTTGGCAGAGAAAGACCCTGTCTCCAAAAAAATAAATAAATAAAAAAGAGAAAAAACAAAAGAAAATAATCCCTCTGAAATGAGTTGTGATACGATCCAGCAATTCCATTCCTAGATACACGAACACACCTTACAGATATTATAGGTTCAGTTCCAGACCACTGCAATAAAGGGAGTATCTCAATAAAGCAAGTCATACAAATTTTTTGGTCTCCCAGTGCATATAAAAGTTATGTTTACGCTATACTGTAGTCTGTTAAGTGTACAGTAGCATTATATCTGAAACATATACATATCTTAATTTTAAAATACTTTATTGCTAAAAAATGCTAACGATCACCTGAGCCTTCAGCAAGTCATAATCTTGTCACTGTTGGAGGGCTTTTCCTCGCTGTTGATGGCTACTGACTAATCAGGGTGGTGGTTGCTAAAGGCTGGGTGGTAATTTCTTAAAGTAAGACAGCAGTGCAGTTTGCCACATCAACTCACTCTTCCTTTCATGAAAGATTTTGCTGTAGCTGCATAATAGTATTTTACCCACAGTAGAACTTTTTTCCTAATTGGAGTCGATCCTCTCAAACCCTGCTGCTGCTATATCAAATAAGTTGATGGAATATTCTAAAACCTTTGTTGTCATTTCAACAATGCTCATAGCATCTTCACCAGGAGTAGAGTCCATCTCAAGAAACCACTTTCTTTGTCATCCATAAGAAGCGACTCGTCATCTGTTCAGGTTTTATCATGAGATTGGAGTGATTCAGTCACATCTTCAGGCGCCACTTCTATTTCTAGTTCTTTTGCTGTTTTTACCACATCTGTAATTATTTCCCCCACTGAAGTTTTGAACTCCTTAATGTTATTTATGAGGGTTGAAATTACTTCCAAACTCCTGTTAATGTTGATATTTTGACCTCCTCTCATGAATCACGAATTTTCTTTTTTTTTTTTTTGAGATGGAGTTTCACTCTTGTTGCCCAGACTGGAGTGCAATGGCGCGATCTCGGCTCACTGCATCCTCTGCCTCCTGGGTTCAAGGGATTCTCCTGCCTGGGCCTCCCAAGTAGCTGGGATTACAGGCGACTGCCACCACGCCTGGCTAATTTTTTGTATTTTTAGTAGAGGAGGGGTTTCACTATATTGGCCAGGATGGTCTTGAACTCCTGACCTCAGGTGATCCACCCGCCTCGGCCTCCCAAAGTGCTGGGATTACAGGCATCAGCCACTGTGCTCGGCTGAATCACGAGTTTTCTTAATGGCATCTAGAATGGTGAATCCTTTTCAGAAGGTTTTCAATTTACTTTGCCAAGATTCATCAGAGGAATCACCATCTGTGCAGCTATAGCCTTACAAAATGTGTTTCTTAAATAAAGCCAATAAAAACAATAAAAACAAATAAAGGCTTGAAAGTAGAAATTACTCCTTGGTCCATGGGCTGCAGAATGGATGTTGTGTTAGCAGGCATGAAAACAACATTCATCTCCTTGGACGTCTCCATCAGAGCTCTTGGGTGATGAGATGCATTGTCAATGAGCAGTAATATTTTGAAAGGAATCTTTTTTTTTTTTTTCTTTCTGAGCAGTAGGTCTCAACAGTGGGCTTAAAATATTAAGTACACCATGCTGTAAACAGATTTGCTGTCCTCCAGGCTTTGTTGTTCCATTTATAGGGCACAGGCAGAGTGGTTTTAGCCAAATTTTTAAGGGCCCTAGGATTTTCAGAATAGTAAATGAGCATTGGCTTTAACTTAAACTCACCTGCTGTATTAGCCCCTACATAATCAGCCTGTCCTTTGAAGCTAGGCATTGACTTCTCCTCTGTATCTATGAAATGGCGTCTTCGTCCAATAGAAAGCTGTTTTGTCTACACTGAAAATCTGTTGTGTAGTGTAGCCACTTTTTTTTTTTCTTTTTTTTGAGACAGAGTCTTGCTCTGTCACCCAGGCTGGAGTGCAGTGGCGCAATCTTGGCTCATTGTAACTTCTGTCTCCCGGGTTCAAGCAATTCTCCTGCCTCAGCCTTCCAAGTAGCTGAGATTGTGGGTGCCCACCACCGCACCCAGCTGATTTTGTATTTTTAGTAGAGATGGGGTTTCACCATGTTGTTCAGGCCGGTCTCAAACTCCTGACCTCAGGTGATCCATCTGCCTTGGCCTCCCAAAGTGTTGGGATTACAGGCATGAGCCACCGCGCCCGGCGGAAAATGCTTCTTAAAATAAGCATTTCTTAGCCTTTTCCTGGCTTAATGAAGTAAAATCTCTGGGATGGAGCCTAGAAATCTGCACTTTGGTGAATGCATTAGATGAAACAAGTGTACACAGAGTTTTAAGAATCACTGTCCACTGATTTCAGTAGAATTCCAAATAATAATTGTAAAAAATGAAATGAAAGAAAGAATGGTGAAAATAGAAAATCACCATTTGACAAAAAGTTCGTGGTAATAGTTGGAGGCAAGAATCACAAGGTCTGCTAAAGTTAGGGGGTAAAAATATGATGAAAAATAGAATATTTGCATAATGCTAGTTAGAGTACCTTCCCGCAACCACAGAAGGAAAAAGAATAACTTACAGTGAAGAAACCTAAAGATGCCACCTGAACCAACTGATCAGAATTAACATCACCAGTAATGGGCCACCTGAACCAACTGATCAGAATTAACATCACCAGTAATGGGCCACCTGAACCAACTGTTCAGAATTAACATCACCAGTAATGGACATAGTGACATCATGTGCCACCTGATATGTGATATGATGGCCCAGGAAGAATACTTTGCTTCTGCAGGATTCTTGCTAACCTGAATTTAATTTTGAGGAAATACGAGATGATCCCAAATGAGAGACATTCTAGAAAATAACTGGCCATTACTCTTTAGGACTATGAAGGTCATTAAAGACAAAAAGAGACTGAGGAATTGTCATAGACTGGAGGAGACTAAGGAGACGTGAGACCAAAAGGCAGTGTAAGATTCTGAATTGGATCTAGACAAAGACATGTGCGGGACAGTTGGCAAGATTTGAATAAGGTTTGTAGATTAGGTAATAGTATTGCACCCATTTCGATTTTCGGGTTTTGATCATTGTAGGATGGGTATGTAAGAGAGTAATATCTGGGGGAAACTGAATGAAGAGTTCACAGAAATTTGTTGTACCATTCTGCAACTTTTTATAAGCCTAAAATTATTTCATATTAAAAAATAATAAATGTCGGCCAGGCGCAGTGGCTCACGCCTGTAATCCCAGCACTTTGGGAGGCCTAGGCGGGTGGATCATGAGGTCAGGAGATTGAGACCATCCTGGCTAACATGGTGAAACCCCGTCTCTACTAAAAATACAAACAAATTAGCCAGGTGTGGTGGTGGACGCCTGTAGTCCCAGCTACTCGGGAGGCTGAGGCAGGAGAATGGCATGAACCTGGGAGGCAGAGCTTGCAGTGAGCTGAGATTGCGCCACTGCACTCCAGCCTGGGCGACAGAGTGAGACTCTGTCTCAAAAAAATAAAAAAAAATAAAAATAAAATAAAAATAAATAATAACAATAAATGTCACTGCCCTTGAGCATCGTGAGTCCTGCTTTGAAAGCTATTGGTGTAGAAGGAACTTGGGCTTTGGAATCATACAAACCCTAGCTGGGGCCAGGCGTGGTGGCTCACACCTGTAATCCCAGCACTATGGGAGGCTGAAGTGGGCGGATCACTTGAGGCCAGGAGTTTGAGACCAGCCTGGCCAACAGGACGAAACCCCATCTCTACTAAAAATACAAAAATTAGCCAGGCATGGCGGTGCACGCCTGTAATCCCAGCCACTCGGGAGGCTGAGACAGAGAATCGCTTGAACCTGGGAGGCAGAGGCTGCAGTGAGCTGAGATTGCGCCACTGCACTCCAGCCTGGGCGACAGAGCGAGACTCCATCTCAAAAAAAAAAAAAAAAAAAAAAAACCCTAGCTGGACTCCCAGCTCTGTCATGTACCAGCTAAATCCAGAGCCTCTCAGCCTCGTTTTCATCTGTGAAACGGGGATGACCATGTCTATGTCCTAGGATCACTGGAAGGGTAAATGAAATGATGTATGTGAGATGCTAAGTGCAGTGCCTGCCTTACCAGGTGCTCAGGAAATGCTGGCCCTCCCCTGTGGTTCAAGCACCCAGAGATATTTTCTCCATGAGTCAGCTCCCAGTCTCCCTCTTGCCCTGGAGCAAAAGAACCAATCCTGTCCACTAGGCTGTTTCAGCTTGGCAAGGAGCCATCGAAGCCCCCTGTCCTGTTAGCTGAGAAAAGGTGTGTCCTGGGAGAGAGAGGATTTTGACCCAGGTTGAGATGGGAGGTGGCTCTGGCAGGCAGAGGACACCCTGGGGACCCTCGGGAAGGCAGCCTGGCCTGGGAGCTTTCTCACAGGCTCTCCTTGGCAGGCCACTTAAAGTTACACCGACTTCAAACAAAAAGGGTTTGCAGACACAAAAGAAGGCTCAACCTGGCCAGTGCCAGGCCTGGCTTGGTATTTGAGTTCAGAAATCCAACTCCTTGGAGCTCGCAGACAGGCCCCACCATCCCGGTAAACACTCCAGGAATGCCAAGAACCTGCCTTAGAGCTCCCCTCCCGGGATTGCTTCTGTTGCTGACCCTGGGTCCGGATTCGTTAGAGGTAAATAAGAGCCAGTGCTCCCAGAGCGGGGACTGTGCAACAGGCCAAGGTGGGGCTCCTTGTACCTGTCTTCAATTCCAACCCCTCTCCACTTTGCAGTATGTGGGTGTATGTGCCGGGCTAGTTTTCTTAATGGATTATTTTTCCTCCAGCTTTATTGAGGTATAATTGACAAAAATTGTATGTATTTACAATATGTAACATGAAGTTTTGCTATACATATGCATTGTGAAATCATGACCACAATCAAGCTAATTAATATAGCCATCACCTCACGTAATTATTTTTTTTTGAGTGAGAACATTTAAGGTCTACTCCCAGCAATTTTGAAGTATACAGTACATTCTTGTTAGTTATAGTCACCAGACTGTACAATAGATCTTTCTAACTTGTTCATCCTGTCTAACTGAGAGGTGATTTTGTACCCTTTGACCAGTGTCTATCCATCCCCCGCTTAATTGATTATTTTAAAGTAAAGCAAAACGGGTAGTTTTTTCATCTATGTTTTTGTATAGGCCCCTCCATGTTCTGCCAGTTGAGTCTCCCATGTGACCAAAGACACGTTTGGGTTTTTTTTTTTTGTATTTTGTGTTTTGACGCGGAGTTTCGCTCTTGCTGCCTAGGCTGGTATGCAATGATGCGATCTCAGCTCACTGCAACCTCTGCCTTCTGGGTTCAAGCGATTCTCCTGCCTCAGACTCTCAAGTTGCTGGGATTACAGGCACGCGCCACCATGCCTGGCTAATTTTGTATTTTTAGTAGAGATGGGGTTCTCCATGTTGGTCAGGCTGGTCCCGAACTTCTGACCTCAGGTGATCTGCCTGCCCCGGCCTCCCAAAGTGCTGGGATTACAGGCATGAGCCACCACTCCCGGCCCCAAAGGCACATTTGTAAGAGGGTGAGCCTGAGTTAAGGGCATAATCATTGAACATTGGAATGATTGAGGGCATGTTATATGTGCTTTCCCTATGACCCCGGCAGGTCCACCTCTCAGTACCCACCCTAGAGAAACACATATGTGCACAAAAAGGCATGTGCAAGTGTGTTGGTCTCAGACTTGTTGGTAATAGGTACATCAATCGAACATCAATAAGTCTGGGACAAACACACTTGCACATATATATGAGAGAGAAGGAGAGAAAAACCTTAACATCTACCAATAAGGAAATGGTTATACACCAAATCAATGTATTCATGCTTTAGAATATAAGGCTGCAGGTAAAAATATAAGTCTAGAGCTGGGTTTAGTGGTGCATATCAGTAGTCCCAGCTATGCAGGAGCCTGAGGTAGGAAGATAGCTTGAGCCCAGGAGTTCAAGGCCAGCCTGGGCAACATAGCAAGACCCTGTCTCCAAGACAAATAAACATAAATCCATCTGTATGCTCATAGACAGGACTGCATGATATACAGAGTGTGGTACCACTTGTGTATCCAAACAAAATCCTACCTAATCCATGACTGACACAGAGCCCCCGGGCAGAGGGGCCATATCCTTACCACCTCTCTGTCCCTGTGGCAGCTCTGGCCTCTCAATAGCTGCTTCTGAAATAGCATTGGTTTCAGGGAATTTATGACTTAACTGACTTTGCTGTTATTATGTGGATTAAGAACCAGGCCCAAAGTTGATTCTTTCCCATTGTTGAACTTGGATGACGATGTAATTGGCAAACTGTAGCCCGTGGGCCAAATTCTGTCTGTTGCCTGTTTTTGTAAATAAACTCTTATTGGAACACAGCCACGCCCATTTGTTTATGTATTGTCTGTGGCCGCTTTCCATACAACAGCAGGATTGAGTTGTTGCAACAGAGACCATGTGGCCTGCAGAGGCTAAAATACTTATTATCTGGCTCTTTACAGAAAAATTTGTTGACCCTTCTCCTAAGCCTTTCCCCTAGACCCGCTCTCTTTCTTCCAACACTGGCGAAAATGGAAAGGAATTAGCCCTTCCTGTTGCTACTGTGTTACTCAGGGGGTTTGGGAGAGCTGTTGTAAAAGCTCTGGACTAATGATTACTTTATTAGAAATTAATCAATTAAGAAAATCACTGCATTCCCTTGCCTCTCCAACACACAAATTTAAGTCCTGCAGCAGAAGTTCTATCTAAAGCAGGTCCCCTGTGGACGTTGCTGTAGAACTTCTGAAAATGAGTACTTCTCCCCTCCCTCCCACCTCCAGCAGATTCGGATTCCCTGGAGGACAAGGATTCCGACTGTTATCTTTCTGTCCTCAGGGTCTAGCAGGATGCTGGCACATTGCAGATGCTTAGTACATATACAGTGGATAAATACATCAGTGGAAAATATGAAAAAAGAGACAGCCACCTTCGGCTTCTTGCTTTTGGGGGCAGCCTATTTAGAGACCATGAATAAGAAAAGAAATGAAGGAAATCTGTGAACCCAAATGAAATGACCAGCTGTATGAAGGGCCAGCAAATGGCTCATGGAGCTAGTGGCTTCACAGGTGAAAAGGGAGTGTCTAGCCTCCCTTAAGCAGGGCTCATGAAGGTGGGCCATGCTTCAGCCACACCAGGTCAGGCACGTAGTCCCCCTCACTCAAGGACATGTGCTTGAGTGCCTTGGGCTACCAAGTTGCCTTTCCCAGGGACTGGGTGGTCTCACGTTTGCCTTGGCAGGGATCCCCGTTGGGTGCCTGACATCTGATTTTTTTTAGATACTGTGATAGTAAATGCGAGGCTGCCATGAAAAAGGAGACTCCAGCCTGATGGGAACGAAGGGCGGACAGTGAACACGATTCTCTCTCCCAGAGAAAGAACCTAGCAACTGGGTTAGCATTTCCAGAAGGCTTTTTGTCTGATTCACAAGCTAATTTCAGCAGCAGAGTGATTATCTAGAACAATGTGCCACACAGAGTGGATCCCCGAAGAGCCGAGATGTTAACTTCAGGAGGAATCACTTATTCAGGCCTGCCCGAGGCATGGAAACACGAGAGCCCGCCTTGGGAGAAGCCGCCTGCCCAGGTCGGCCCGACCTGCCTCACGGGGAAATTGGCTTCCACTTTCTCTTTGAACAAGGATGGAGGGTGAATGGAAGGCGGGGCAGCGAGGGAAGGATTAAAGCCCCCTGTTTGTTCTATAATGGGGATATTCATCTTGCCTTGTAGAGGGGGGTCTTTTACTGGAATGAAAAAGTTTCCCCCATACAGTATCCATCAAAAGGTGCCCTTATGAGGCAGAAAGAAAGGAGGAGGGAGAGAAATCATTCAGAACAAGAGTGGGAGAATGAGAAGACATGCTAAATATCTGAAATGAGAGAGCACCGTGAGTTTGGCGAGCTCGCAGGGAGATTACGCCAAGTGGCAGGGGACGACGAGGGGCTATGTTTCAGCCTGAGCCTCTCGGTGGGCCCGGAGCCGGAGTCCGTCCATCAGGAACACAAGTCCCCAGCCGGGCAGCACAGCGAAAGCTTTGGGATGCTAATGGCCCTTTAGGAATGCTAAATGGAGCATTTCTGTCGCAACAAAGGGGCAAAATGAGGGGAGAAAGGAATTTTAGTTTTGAAGTTTCCTTAGGGGAGGGCTAAACAATAGCGGTTTTAATGGACAGTGTAAAAGTTTTATCTGCGTTATGAAAAAGAGGAATAGGGTACACATGCCCTCTTGGCAGCTCCTTGGTTGGGTTAAATGGCGAACAGAGCGCCTCAGTAGAGGCTGGACTGGAATTTGCTGGGTTTCAGCCTCTCTGAGCGAAGGGCAACAATGTTGATCTGAGGACTGCTGTGTGGGTCCCATCTGATCAGAGACACTTCTGCACATCTTGCTGTATTGATTCATGCACTCATTCATTCAGTCCATTCATTCACTTATTCATTCTCTCCTTCATTCATGACTCATCCATTCACTCACTCAAACAACAACTGGTTATTGAACACCCACTGCATCCAGGCAGAATGCTAACCGCTGCCTGCACCACTGCACCACTGGACAATGCTGTCCAGAGAGGGACAGGCCATCTCTGCTCTCAAAAAGCTGATGTTCTATTGGGGTTGAGCAGCAGAAGTAAAAGAAGTGATGAGAACTAACATCAGGTAGTGACTGGAGGGCAGCATTTAGACAAGGCACCAGGTGAGGCCTATCTGAGGAGGGACCATTTGACCTGAGACCTGAATGAGGAGAAGGAGCCAACCCTGCGGAGACTGGGGGTGAGACCATTTCAGGTCAAGAGAAGACGTGAGGAGGTCCTGGTGCAGGAAGGAGCTTGCCACGTTTGAGCAACAGAGCAAAGGCCAGTGTGGAGGAAGGTGGGAAGAGGAGAGGAAGGCAGGATGGATACCATCTTGATGGGCTTGATGGGAAGGCAGACATCTTTTTTTTAATTTTTATTTTTTTGAGACAGGGTCTCACTCTGTTGCCCACACTAGAGTGCGGTGGGGCAGTCATGGCTCACTGCAGCCTCAACCTCCCAGGCTCGGGTGATCCTCCTGCCTCAGTCTCCAGAGTAGCTGGGACTACAGGTGCATGCCATTATGCCTGGCTAATTTTTATTTTTTGTTTTTTTGTTTTTGAGACCGAGTTTCGCTCTTGTTGCCCAGGCTGGAGTGCAATGGCGCAATCTGTGCTCACTGCAGCCTCAACCTCCCAGACTCAGGTGATCCTCCTGCCTCAGCCTCTAGAGAAGCTGGGACTACAGGTGCACACCATTATGCCTGGCTAATTTTTTTTTTTGACAGAGTTTCCCTCTTGTTGCCCAGGCTGGAGTACAACGGCGTGACCTCTGCTCACTGCAACCTCCGCCTCCCGGGTTCAAGCAATTCTCCTGCCTCAGCCTCCCGAGTAGCTGGGATTACAGGCATGTGCCACCACACCTGGCTAATTTTTGTATTTTTAGTAGGGACGAGGTTTCACCATGTTGGTCAGACTGGTCTCAAACTCCTGACCTCAAGTGATCTGCCTGCCTTGGCCTCCCAAAGTGTTGGGATTACTGGTGTGAGCCACTGTGCCCGGCTGAGTGCCGCCATCTTGATGGTTTTGATGGGGAGCCGCCATCTTGTGGGCACGGTGAGGAGTTAGATTTAATTTTGAGGTCTATGGGAAGCCATGAGAGAATTTTAGATAGGATGGTGGTCTGTCTTTCTGTTAGTTGGTGGCTAATGGGTACAAAGCAGAAGCAGGGAAGGACCCTGGGCTGGAGAGTCCTGAGTTAGAGACCACCAAGTAGGTCTGGCTCAACAGCTCTGGTCAGACCAACAGTAGCTGGTCAGCCTCAGGTAGAGTGTGTGGGGTGCTGAGTGATGGCCTGGGGTAGTTTGGGGCCGAGGAAGGGCACTCGTGTTCTATGAGCACCGTCCAGAATGAGGCCACAGCCCAGCTCACTGGAAACGTGCCCTGGAGTGTGATGGCCTGGGTAGTGATGTGAGCACTTAACCCAGGCTCTGCTCAGAGTCCAGAAGCAGGGGCTCCACCCCGTGAGATGTGGCAATGGCTTTTTGAAGGAAGAACTGATGGGGCGTGGGACTGGTCCAGCATGAAGGATGAAAAGACGCTGGAGAGATGAGATAGTAAAGACAACGCCTTTCGTGCCTGCGTGCTTGCTGTGTGCCCCCCGTCTCGTCCCTTCAACAGAGGCCCCCCTGTGATGTTATCAGGGCAAGCGCTTTTCATCCTTAGGATTCTTTCTCCATGCAAAATCTTATTTGGAAACTCAGTGTGGAAAACAGGCAAAACTCGGGCTGCTTTGGCTGAAGAAGGTGTTGTTGAGGTGGGGGCTGGAGTGTACCCCCTTCTCCCCCTCACCCCGCAGAGCCCTGTCCTCTTCTTTTTGCCCCCCACCCCCACTTCACCCTCAGCATGACCAAAGGACCCCTGTGGTCCCCAGGGACACAGTTTCTCAAGAGAGGCCTGGGACCAACATGTACAGCATTATTTTTGCTCCCACTGAATTTGCTGTACAAACAACTGGCAATTGGGGTATGTTGGCTGAAATAATTTCATCACTTAATCCTCAATTTTACGTGTGACTGGTTGATTGCACACAGATCCTGTGACCCCTGAGTCTGTTTCCTAGTGATTGCCCGGGCTTATCACTATATTGTTTGCTTTCTGCTCTTCCCCGGGGTTTGCTTTCCAGGGGCAGTTGTGTGACCTGCCTGCCTCTTGGTGACCTCCTTTTCACTCTGGTGAACACTCCTTCATCTCCCCGTTTTCATTGATTTCTCGGGTATTTTCCATTCTGTAATACTTTGGCTGCTGTTTCTTCCTTGTTTTTATAAAATTCATCTGCTGGTTGCTGTTTACAAAACATCTCCTTTAAACCATCAGGCACGAAGGCAGGATTGCTGCCCCACTGGGAAGCCGGCCCCACAATCAGGTTCCACGTAAGGACGTTTTCCAGAAAATGACACGTGGCTCCTTTAAGTGCAACACTTTTAATTTCATGAGAATCGTATTTTTACAGGTCCAATATTATAGACTTGTTTGGCCAGGGAAAAACATTGCCAGTTCATTTTTAAAATTTTTAAATGTTTCTCCCATCATCTATTTATTTGTTTATTTTTGGAGACAGAGTCTCGCTGTGTTGTCCAGGCTGGAGTGCAGTGGCACGATCTCAGCTCACTGCAACCTCCGCCTCCTGGATTCTAGCGATTCTCCTGCCTCAGCCTCCCGAGTAGCTGGGACTACAGGCACATGCCACCATGCCTGGCTAATTTTTTGTATTTTTAGTAGAGACGGGGATTTGCCATGTTGCCCAGGCTGATCAGAAACTCCTGAGCTCAGGAAAATATGCCTGCCTCGGCCTCCCAAGGTGCTGGGATTACAGGCATGAGCCACTATGTTCGTCCTATTTATTTATTTTTTATTTCAATAGCTGTTGGGGTACAAGTGGTTTTTGGTTACATGGATGAATTCTGTTGTGGTGAATTCTGAGATTTTAGTGCATCATCTGAATCATTTTTGAATAACAATCTTTCTGAAATGCATTTTTGTACTTACCTGCCTTTTTAAACAGAGCTCAAACATCATCTAGGCCTTTCTTATTGTCTCAGGTCATTCATATGAACATTAGTTAGTGCATCCTATTGAATGCCGTGTAGGGAATTATGTACGTTTCTGTGTTCTGGCCCTAAGTGGCCCCACATGGCCAAGTCTTAAGACTTAGCATTGTGTGTTAAAAGCCTCACTTTTCTTATCCATAAAGTGGGGATTATTATACCGACCTTGTAGGATACCTTATAGGATTTTTGCAAGGCTTAGGGTCCATGTAAGATCCTTGGCCCATGGTAGGCACTCAAAAAAAAAAAAAAAAAAAAAAAAAAAGAAAAGAAAAAAGAAAAAAATAGCTTAGAGAAAAGAATGGAAAACAGCAGTAGATTCTTAGAAGCTAGATATTTTCCATCATGAATTCTTTTCCTGGGTTTGACCATTTATATTTTTTGAGCCCCAGGTAACGGGAAGCTTGCCCCCGCCTAGAATTTGTCTTTAAGGAGTTGAAGGGAGCCAAACATGAGAGAGGCAGACAGTAGAGTGGTTTAAGAGCCCACAATCTGGAGTTAGACTACCTGGGTTCAAATCCAGACTCGGCCACTTCCTGGCTGTGGCTCTGAGCAAGTTCTTTAATGTCTGTGCATTTCAGAGTCCTCCTTTCAACAATGGAGATAATGATAGTACCTGTCTCAGAGGGCTGTTAGGAGCATTAAATAATTTCATACACGTAAAGTGCATAGAATAGCACCTGGTACACAGTAAGCCCTCTATATTATCATTCATGGTGATGCCTACCTGCTACGTGGCCGGCACATGCTGAATCCTGGGTTTAATATGACGGTGACTGAGGTGTGGTTCCTGCCCACAAATAACCCTGGGGAAAATGCAGCAGGTACAGATGGAGGAACTTACGCAAATCCTCAAAAATCTGAACCTAGAATTGCAGTGTGACCCAGCAATGCCTCTCCTAGGTATTTACACTGAAAACAGGTATTTAGAACTGAAAACAGGTATTCAGACAACTACTTGTATATGAATGCTCATGGCAACATTATTCACAATAGCCAAAAGGTGGAAACAACCCACATGTCCGTGAACAAATGAATGGATAAACAAAATATGGTCTATCCACCCTACGTAATATCACTCAGCCAGAAAAGGGAATGAAGTACAACTTATATATGCTACAGTGTGAAGGAACCACAGAAACAGTATGCCAAGTGAAAGAAGCCAGACACAAAAGGGCACATATGATATGGTTACATTTATGTGAAATGTCCAGAAGAGGCAAAGCAGATTAGTGATTGCCAGGGGCGGGAGGAAGGGGAAATGGGGAGTGACTGCCTAGTAAGTTATGGAATCTCCTTTAGGGAAGATGAAAACATTTTGAAACTAGACAGAGGTGATGGTTGTACAGCTTTGGGAATGTACTAAATGCCACCGGATTGTCTATTTTAAATGACTCATTTTATGTTTTGTGAATTTCACCTCAATTACAAAAAAAAAAAAAAAAAAAGACCCTTGCAGATGGGAAGACTCAAGAGGGCAAGTCTAAACCACCAGGGCCACGTATGGCTAAGTGAGCATGTTTCGGAGCACTGGGGCCCAGGGAGGGGAGGGTCACAGTGGCAAAAATGGCACCTGTCGGAAGAAACTGCACTTACTGCATACGGGGTGTATGTATGCAAATGGGAGTGTACATATCTATGCAAAATACTAGCCATTATCATTAGAGTAGGATACATAATGATAAGCGTACAGTTGGCCCTCGAACAACACAGGCTTGAACGTTGAGGATCCATTTATACATGGATTTTCTTCCTCCTCTGCTACCCCAGAGTCAGCAAGACCCACCCCTCCTCTCCTCCTCAGCCTACTCCGTGTGAAGATGACAAGGATGAAGACCTTTATGATGATCCACTTCCACTTAATGAACAGTAAATATATTTTCTCTTCCTTATGGTTTTCTTCATAACAGTTTCTTTTTTCTAACATGTTTTATTGTAAGAATACAGTATCTAATACATAAAACATATACAATATGTATTATTAACTGTTTATGTTATCCATAAGGCTTCCAGTCAACAGTAGGCTACTATCAGTTCAGTTTTTGAGGAGTTAAAAGTTATACGCGGGTTTTTTACTGTGTGGGGCATTGGTGTCCCTAACTCCTGTGTTGTTCAGAGGTCAACTGTGAATTTTATAACAGAAGATAACCAGCAGTTGAGGACGGCCATGGTAACTGTCAAATGAATGGTTTTAACATTGGGCTTCAGGAGGTGTGTAGCAAACAGCACGGGGACTCATAATATCTGTTTTGCCATTAGCCAGCTAGCTCTCAAGTGGGATAAAAAGGAGTAGGCAGCCCGGGTGCAGTGGCTCATGCCTGTAATCCCAGCACTTTGGGAGGCCAAGGCAGGCAGATCACGAGGTTAAGAGATCGAGACCATCCTGGCCAACATGGTGAAACGCCATCTCTACTAAAAATACAAAAATTAACTGGGCATGGTGGCGCGTGCCTGTAGTCCAAGCTACTCGGGAGGCTGAGGCAGGAGAATCACTTGAACCTGGGAGGCGGAGGTTGCAGTGAGCCGAGATTGTACCATTGCATTCCAGCCTGGTGACAGAGCAAGACTCTGTCTCAAAAAAAAAAAAAAAAAGTAGGCAACAAAGGTTTAGGATGAAGGTATAATTTAAAAAGCATGAAGTTGAAAAAATTACTCAACCACAGTGACCTTGGTTGAATCACCTTAGGTTGTTTGCTTTGCACAGGGGAAAGATCATCATGTTCTTTTGTAGTGATAGAGCATTCTGATCCAACCAACAGAGCCCCATGGTTTCTAGGGAGGTGGAGAAGGCCTGGTGGAGGAGGAAGGGGAGGGCTCAGTTCCTTTCTAGAACTTGAGTGTCAGTTGAAAATAGAGTGAGGAAGGTGGCAGTTGAAAATAGAGTGAGGAAGGTGGCTGATTCTAGGCAGGTGAGTGGAATGAGTGACAGTGGCCCAAAGGGTAAGGGGGGGTCTGGCCTTTCTAGAGAACATGTGTCAATGAGACAGTTGGCTGGAACCTTGGCTCCCAGTAGGAGCATAGGAGGAGATGGAGCAGAGACCGGGTATGGGCAAGGTGGTGGCCAGGCTAAGGAAGGTGGGGTTTATCTAGACAAGTGGTTGTCACATTTTGGCCTGCTTCAGAGTCACAGATTGCTGGGCCCTTCCTCAAAGATAGGTTTGGAGTGGGGCCCTAGGATTTGATATCTAACAAGTGCCCAGGTGGTGTTGATATTGCTAGTCTGTCCACATTTGGAGAACCACTGGTAAGCGATGGGCATCCAGGAGCAGTTTTTTTGTTGTTGTTGTTGTTTTTGTTTTATTTTGTTTTGTTTTGTTTTTTTGAGACGGATTCTCGCTCTGTCGCCCAGACCAGAGTCCAGTGGCGTGGTCTTGGCTCACTGAAACCTCCACCTCCCGGGTTCAAGCAATTCTCCTGCCTCAGCCTCCCAAGTGGCTGGGATTACAGGTGCCTGCCACCACGCTGAGCTAATTTTTTGTATTTTTAGTAAAGACGGTGTTTCACCATGTTGGCCAGGCTGGTCTTGAACTCCTGACCTCGTGATGCGCCTGCCTCGGTCTCCCAAAGTGCTGGGATTACAGGTGTGAGCCACCACAGCCAGCCAGGAGCAGTTTTTAGCAGGGGACAAGCCTGATGAAATGGCGTAAACGATGGCCACTGGATATGGCTGTGAGAGCAATCACTCATTAAATCAGGTGGTTTTGTTCCTGAATCAATCTTGCATCTCAGTAGATTTTTAGTCCCCGAGGCTCAGACTGCCAACAAAAAATCTTTCAGGGCATTGTAATATTTTGATGACCACAGACTTCCTTGGAATGAAGTTGTCCCAATTCCGAATGAGGGGCCACGGCCTCATAAAAGGTTTTTATTCCCCTTTCTGGGCTGGAGAAGCCATCTAGGAAAATGCTGTTTCTGTACCTAAAGTGTTGGGATTTTCAGATTGTTTTCATGAGTTACAGACACACGGAGCAGCATGCTTGAACTTAGACCCTTTCTGCAAATGTCAGGCTGTATGATAATTGAGCCAGAATGTTACTCGAGCTTTCTGACACATTTTTTGAGACCTCCCATCCAGTATTCTCATACAGAAATATGGCTCCTCCAGGTGTGCACTTAACACTCGCTTCTTTGCAGCCAGGGGAACCTTTAGCTAAGGAAAAAAAAGCCCTCCTACCCTTGGTTTCAAAAGGTTTTGAAATGCTAATTCACAACCATGAAGTATTCTGACAGCCTGGAATGTTATTCAGGGCAATCAGGCACCTTGATTATTACAGAAGTGTGAAAGGTAAATTGCTGCTACCCAAGAAGTCACCCAGCTTTTCAAGAGAAAGCTCAGAAAAATAGCACATAAAATTATGTTCGGGGATTACACTTCATGTATCGTGTGATGGGGTGCTCTGACACCCAGCGTGTCTGTAGGTGTCACAACGTCAGCTCGTAGTAGAAATGTAACAGCATTTGCCAGCGTCGCCCTTAAGTAAAAAAAAATAATAATAATACAGGATTGTGGGAAACATTTTCAGAATGTGTTGTATGCCTATCTAAAATCTGAAAGTACATCTTTTTTGAGCTTCTGCTTTTCCTATTTTCCACTGAGAAATCCTGTCCCAGAGATGAGACTATCTTTTCTTTTTCTTTTTTCCAAAGGGAAAGACTATTTTTTATTTATCCTATAGTCTTTTATAGGTATTATCATTAATGACTTTTTTTTTTTTTGACGGAGTTTTGCTCTTGTTGCCTAGGCTGGAGTGCAGTGGCACAATCTTGGCTCACTGCAACCTCCACCTCCCGGGTTCAAGTGATTATCCTGCCTCAGCCTCCTGAGTAGCTGGGATTACAGGTACTGGCCACCATGCTCAGCTAATTTTTTGTATTTTTAGTAGAGACAGGGTTTCATCATGTTGGCCAGGCTGGTCTCGAACTCCTGGCCTCAGGGAATCCACCCACCTCGGCCTCCCAAAGTGCAGGGATTACAGGCGTGAGCCACCGCTCCCAGCCCATTAATGACTTTTAAAGCTTTGTTGTATTTTGCCACAATAAGCACAAAATGGTGTTTCTCCATGGTCCAAACTCAAAGTCAGGATTCAGTCCATAATCCAAAAGTTCCACATTGAGCTATGAAAGAGGTAAGTGCAGGTGGTTAGCAGAGCAAAGTTTTTTTTTTTTTGGTGACAGAGTCTTGCTGTCTCCCAGGCCGGAGTGCAGTGGCGCAATCTCAGCTCACTGCAAGCTCTGCCTCCCGGGTTCATGCCATTCTCCTGCCTCAGCCTCCCGAGTAGCTGGGACTGCAGGTGCCCGCCACCACGCCTGGCTAATTTTTTTGTATTTTTAGTAGAGATGGGGTTTCACCGTGTTAGCCAGGATGGTCTCGATCTCCTGACCTCGTGATCCGCCCGCCTCGGCCTCCCAAAGTGCTAGGATTACAGGCGTGAGCCCCAAAGATTTTTTTTTTAGCCAAGGCAGATGCATGCCTTGAGGAAGGAGCTGTTGTCACTACCAACTGCTCATGAGAATGAGGGAAACCCATCTCATTCGCTTTTCCTTACTGGGTTTTCCAGTATGATTTATTTATTTTTTCAATTACTAAGTAAGAAATACAAGCATCCTAACTGTAATGGTCCCTTTTTTTTACTATAGCTTCTTCAAGGTCTGGTGGGTAGTTGTAGTTTATTGCTCTCCTTGGAGGAACAGGAAAGGGGTTATATTGTTTGTAGGTAAGTGGAAACCAAACATTCCATGGGGAGGAAAGTGAATAGTTGTTTAGGGTCGTTTGTATGTAAATCCTTGCATCCATTCATTCATCGGTCCATGCTCTATCCATGCTTCCATCCATCCACCCACTTCCTGGCCAGCCTTCTCCTCTAACTGACTTCCACATCCAGGAGCTCGCCCCAGGGTTCTCCCTTCCCTGTACACATTCTCTCTGTAAATGACCGCTGCCATTTTCATGGCTTTCCATAAAGTGATGCCAAGCCTCTCTGTTTTACCTCTCTGGCCCTGACTTCTCTTTTGAGCTTCAGACCCCACAGCTCCCCATTTCTCACTTCTGCGTCGATGCCTCATGGGCACCTCAAGCTGCTCAGGCCAGATACCTAGGAGGGTTGTTCCAAATCCCTCTTTTTCTTTCACTCCCCCATCCCCAATCAGTTCCTCCCTGAGTCTGATGAGTACCATCCCCTACTCGGTGTATTTCATGTCATCCTGCACACTGTCATCATTCACACATCGTTCATAGTGTATTTCATGACATCATTCACATCATTCACACTGCCGAGTCACCATCCCCCTGGATGGCTCTGGTAGTTCCTTCCTTGGTTTCCTGCTTCCACTAGCTCCTCAGTTTGATCCATTTCCACACAACAGCAGTGTGATCTCTTTTTTTTTGAGACAGGGTCTTGCTTTGTTACTCAGGCAGGAGTGCTGATCACAGCTCACTGCAGCCTTGACCTCGCAGGCTCAAGCAATCCTCCCACCTCAGCTGCCCAAGTAGCTGGCACTACAGGTGTGCACCACCATGCCCCATTCATTTTATTTTTATTAATTAATTTATTTATTGAGATGGCGCCTCTCTCTGTCGCCCAGGCTGGAGTGCAGTGGTGCAATCTCGGCTCACTGCAACCTCCACTTCCCGGGTTCAAACAATTCTCCTGCCTCAGCCTCCTGAGTATTTGGGATTACAGGTGTGCACCACCACAACCGGCTAATTTTTGTATTTTTAGTAGAGACAGTGTTTTACTATGTTGACCAGGCTGGTCTCGAACTCCTGACCTCAGGTGATCTGCCTGCCTCCACCTCCTGAAGTGCTGGGATTACAGGTGTGAGCCACTGTGCCCAGCCTTATGTGATCTTGTTAAAAAGCAATACCCTTGCTATAAACCCAGAGTGGCTCCGTCGGACGGTGGCACAGATTCCTTCCCTGCCAGTCTGACCCCAGCCTGCCTCTCCTGGTTTCCTGCCCACACTGTGGCCACATTGCCCACCTGTTCTTCCCACTCTTCTGTCTGCTCTTGGCTGGTTCTTTCTCATCCCTCAGGTTTGGGCTCAAATTGCCTTGCTGAGACAGGCTTTTCCTGACACCCGGTCTGAAGCACTGACCCCACACACCCATATGGCCACAGTCTCTTGCTTTCACAATCTGAAATGATCTCGTACTTGTCCACTCACTGAATGCCTGTCTCCTGACATTGAACTGTGAACGCCACCAGGGCAAGCACCAAGTCTGCTTTGCGATGCCGTGCCCCAGCCTCCAGACCAGGCCTGGGTATAGCCCGTGAGCTCAGTAAAACGGCAGTGGATGAAGGAAGGCATGAATGACCCCAAGCAGGATCCTGTGCTGGGCTCTGTGGCCTCTCAGATTGTGGACTATGCTCAAGTGTTAGGGAAGTATGTAGAAACTTAATCACTTTACCATCTACTGATCCAAGAAAAGAAGGAAAGCTTAATTTAAATAAATTATTATCATTAACAGAGTTGACCATAAAATGAACAAAACCCTCATTTATCATTTTGCTAATCCTGGCTTCCCCACTAGAATATCTACCTTTAGCCAGAGATTAAATCCATTCATATGTGTCCGGAGAAAATATAAAACATATATACAATAAATATGTGTAGAGGAAAGCAGTAGGATGGACACTGCAATGTAATTGTATTAATAAGACATTAAAAATATAGTTAAATGCAATTATGTATATTATTGTCCGGTCAAGAAGATCACTAGTTGTATTAAAGATGTCATAAGCCTGGGCATGATGGTGTGCACCTGTAATCCCAGCTACTCAGGAAGCTGAGGCAGGAGGATCACTTGAGCTGAGGAGTTTGAGTCCAGCCTGAGCAACATAGCAGGACTTCGTCTCCAAAAAATAAAAATAAAAAAGATATCATAAAGACATCATAAGCTTCCATTGGTTACTTTTAGTATGGATCAAGTAGAAAATTCAATAGCAGAGCCGGGCGTGGTGGCTCACACCTGTAATCCCAGCACTTTGGGAGGCTGAGGTGGGCGGATCACAAGGTCAGGAGTCTGAGACCAGCCTGGCCAATATGGTGAAACCCTGTCTCTACTAAAAATACAAAAAATTAGCCAGGTGTGGTGGTGGGTACCTGTAATCCCAGCTACTCAGGAGGCTGAGGCAGGAGAATCGCTTGAATCTTGGGGGCAGAGGTTGCAGTGAGCTGAGATTGTGCCACTGCACTCCAGCCTGGGCGACAGAGTGAGTCTCCGTCTCAAAGAAAAAAAAATTCAATAGCAGATATACAGAATGGTAGAACTTAACCATGGATCATGTTAGTAAGCAATATTACAAATGGCACGTTGTGGCCAGTTGCAGTGGTTCACGCCTTTAATCCCAGCACTTTGGGAGGCCAAGGCAGGCAGATCACCTGAGGTCAGGAGTTCCAGACCAGCCTGGCCAAAATGGTGAAACCCCGTCTCAACTAAAAATAACAAAAATTAACTGGGCATGTTGGCACATGCCTGCAATCCCAGCTACTTGGGAGGCTGAGGCAGGAGGATCACTTGAACCCAGGAGGTGGAGGTTGCAGTGAGCCGAGACTGCACCATTGCACTCCAGCCTGGGCGACAGAGTGACTCCATCTCAAAAAAAAAAAAAAAAAGGCACATTGAGCCGGAGTCGGCACTTTGGGAGGCCGAGGTGGGCGGATCACATGAGGCTGGGCCAACATGGCAAGACCCCGTCTCTGTAAAAAATACAAAAATTAGCCAGGCATGGTGGTGCACACCTGTAGTCTCAGCTACCTGGGAGGCTGAGGCATGAGAATTGCTTGAACCCAGGAGGCGGAGGTTGCAGTGAGCCAAGATTGTGCCACTGTACTCCAGCCTGGGCGACAGAGCAAGACCCTGTCTCAAAAAAAAAAAAAAATGGCATGTTGTTAGGGATGTGGACATGATAATGTCTCCTAAGGCTATTAAATACAGCTTCAAGTGTGGAAGTTGAGTATGAAGCAGGGGTATGTGTTCTGGGTGAGCCATAGAAGATAATAAATGTTTTGGATCTCTGTTTCTTTGAGCCTCCTGTTACAATAAGATAACAGTTTTCACTGTATTAAATACATTTGTCAGTGGAATAAGGTCCATTTGACTTAAATGCACCCGGGATACATTAATTTACACAGCCATTCACACAGCCACCAGAGCTGCCTTCCTTTATGACTCCATTCTCCACTCCTGTCTCTTACAGAATTAAGTCCAAACTCCTTTACGTGGAATTTGAGGCCCTTCTTGGTCTGTCCCAACCCACTCATCTTCCTCACTTCTTCAGTCGCCTCCCATGCCCCATCGTGTTTATGCTGTGCAAGCATCTTCAGGCCTGGATCGGGAGTTAGTTCTTCCAGGCATCTCTGCCCATCTAGCCCCTCAACAGGTGACTCAGGGTGAGGGCTCTGGGCTTGGGGGATGGGAGCTAGGTCCATCCCTCGGCAGCCAGGAGGCCCTGGGCTCAGGTGCTAGAAGCCTCTGGTGCAAACTCACACATTAGCCTCTGCCTCCATAGAGTTCAGATTGTATTGAAGATATCATAAACCGGGCATGCTGGTGTGCGCCTGTAAACCCAGCCGAGGTGGGAGGATTGCTTGAGCTGAGGAGTTTGAGTCCAGCCTGAGCAACATAGAGCAGTCTCCAAGCACGGTGCCTTAGGGCCTCCCAGAATGTCTAACTCAGGGCAGACAATCAATAAATGTTCATTGGATGAATGAATAAACTACCAGGCTAGAAGGGATTGATGAGTTTAGGGAAACGTCTGTTTGGTGTGACTGGAATCAGATTATGTTCTTTTTTTTCTGAGACAGAGTCTTGCTTTGTCACCCAGGTTGGAGTACAGTGGTGCGATCACAGCTCACTGCAGCCTTGACCTCCCAGGCTTAAGTGATCCTCCCTCCTCAGCCTCCTGAGGAGCTAGAACCAAAGGCATGTGCACCACAGCTGGCTAATTTTTAAAACAAATTTTTGTAGAGACGAGGTCCTACTATGTTGCCCAGACTGGTCTCGAACTCCTAGGCTCAAGGGATCCTCCTGCATTGGCCCCCCAAAGCGCTGGGATTACAGGTGTGAGCTGCTGCACCTGGCCAGATTATGTGTGTGTGTGTATGTGTGAATTTTTTTTTTTTTTTGAGATGGAGTTTCTCTCGTTGCCCAGGCTGGAGTGCAATGGTGCGATCTCGGCTCACCACAACCTCTGCCCTCTGGGTTCAAGCGATTCTCTTACCTCAGCCTCCCGAGTAGCTGGGATTACAGGCATGTGCCACCACACCCAGCTAATTTTGTATTTTTAGTAGAGACGAGGTTTCTCCATGTTGGTCAGGCTGGTCTCGAACTCCTGACCTTAGATGATCCGCCTACCTCGGCCTCCCAAAGTGCTGGGATTACAGGCATAAGCCACCGCGCCTGGCCCGATTTTTTAAAAAATAGGCCTTTTCTTAAGTTAGACCCTTGGGAGGGAACAGTGTGTCATCCTCGAATTTCCAAAAGGGGCTCTAAGATGCAGGAAAGAGAGTGGCTGGTGGCTGGTGTCCACACCATATGGCGGCAGTACAGACTGACCCACGGCTCTCTTCCCAGCTGGTGCCTTGCACTCAGCATGCATCCACCCCTCCATGAGTACAGGAATCAGCTCATCTGCTCTTCAAAGTATGGAGCTGAATTTTCCTATCCTTGCAAATAGCCTCTTGCCTCCTAGCCTGGCTTCCTCCACCGTTCATCAAGACTTCAGTACCAGGAGCACTGTATTGATGAATTTCACAATCCCGTGGGGATAAAAGCTGCTAAAACACTTTTCCCAACTGCTAAATTGGAACCTTTTAGACACCGAGATCTCACTTCCCCTCCTAGGAATTTTCCTATTAAAACATTTTAAAGGTCTATTCAACTAGTTTATAGCTATGGGAATTAAAAAAAAAAGAATGGAAATTAAGTTCTAGGGACATGTCTTTTTGGTCTTCTTTAAGAATCAGTCTAATTTCCACTTCATTGGCTTTTTGTTATTTCAAAGCAGAAGAATGAACATTTTCTCATTTCGTATTTCGTAATGAGGAAACCTTAGCAGAACCTGTATATAAACTATTTTGGTTTGACTATGGATTAATCACTTTCACTGCGTTAAAAACAAAATAATGAAGCCAAGGAGGTTATTTCCTTTTCAAGAGGAGGTTGAATTTTCTGAGCAGCTTTCTCCCTCAAACTTCTCAGAGTCTTCACCTTGGAGGCCTCGCCCTGCCTGCTTCTTGGGACTCTGCTTCTTGTCACCAACTGGGATTTGGGGACAGAAGGACCAGTAGGTGGGAGCACCTCAAAGTAAGGAGTGTGAAGTGCCTGAGGACAAGGTGGCAGGGGCTTCCAGTTCCTCCTTAGGATAAGGCTAGTGAGGTTGACCCCGCATTAACAACACATTTAAAGGTTTCATCTCCTATTTGTGATCTTGATGTATTCTACCTTTGCCCACTTGGTGAGGGTACCAAGACCCCGTGTCACAGCACAGGCCAAATGAACCACCTGTGGCTCATCCTCCTGGGAAGAGTTTGGTGGGTAACCCAGATACCAGTGGGTAGCCTTCGGGAGAAAAGGGTGAGCTAGTCTGGTAATGTTCCCCAGCACGTGGCTGGGGATGGTCCTGGCTGGAGCACATACCCGCCTTCTTCTTCGTAGGTTGTGTAGACTAGTGGACTAAGAGGTTGGACCCTGTACCACACTGAGTGGGTTCAAACTCTAGTTCTACCACATATCAACTCTGTGACCTTGGGCAAATGTCTTAGGTGCACTGTGACTCAGTTTCTCTTTCTGTCTATTATTATTGCCCTCTTCGTGTGATTGTTGTTAAATGAGTTAATTCAGGGGCTTAGAACAGTGTTTGGTTCAAAGCAAGTGCTCAGTAAATGTCAGCCATGAGCCTTCCGGGTGGATCTCACTTCAGCCACTGGTTAGGACAACTCAGAAAATGTCATGCGTGCTTCTTTCTCCCGAGAAAGGAAATTGTTTTACTCTTGTCCAAACTGTCTTCACTATTTAGAGGTCATAGAGGAACAAGAAGTGACTGAGAGCAGTCATGGCTCTTTGAGCCTAAACCCCCGAGACTTTGGAAAAGTGAAGTGTGATGAAAAGATGGAATTAGGACCTTAGTCTCCTGCCCTACTTGTCGGGTGCTGTTGCCACTCATCTAAGCTGCCACTGGTTTGGAGCTCACATTTTTATTTTTTTTGAGACAAAGTCTCATTCTTGTCTGCCAGGCTGGAGTGCAATGTTGCGATCTCTGCTCACTGCAACCTCCGCCTCCCGGGTTCAAATGATTCTCCTGCCTCAGCCTCCTGAGTAGCTGGGATTACAGGCACCTGCCACCATGCCAGGCTAATTTTTGTATTTTTAGTAGAGATGGGGTTTCACCATGTTGGCCAGGCTGGTCTCGAATTCCTGACCTCAGGTGATCTGCCCGCCTCCGCCTCCCAAAGTGCTGGGATTACAGGCATGAGCCACCGCACCCGGTCCTGGAGCTCACTTTTAAGCTACATGTGCTTTGTGGAGCAAAGTCATCATTTGGTAGGGGCTGGACCCATAGTTCGGTCTTCCCAAGACTTTTGGGGACTGTTTCAGACCATTCCCATGCTGCGTGTCCGCCACGTTGCTTCCACAGAGCCTCTCTGTGGTCCATGGCTCTTCCCATTGCCCGCAGACCTCACTTCCTCCAACTTCTTGGAACTTTCCAGATTGAGAGAATAACCACAAACCACTGAGGCCGGAGCACTGAAGAGTCCAGCTCTTTTTCACCTCTGTCAGCGGTCATGAGGGAGCCTGCTCTCTGTGGGGACAGATCTATTTTTGGTGTAACACGGATCGTGTGAACACTGATAACCTCAGACAGAGTGATTTTCTTCCATGTTTCTCAAGCATTTAAAGGGAAGCCTCTGGAACCACCGTGTTAAGCTCCTGACACGGTCCACAGCTTGCTCTAAGCCTGTTTTGATCACTTTTCTAATACAATGATATCGTTTCACATTCTCAGTAATTAGACTCTGTAATCCCTCCATTCTACTCTGTGTGACCTTTATCTTAAATGACATTTTTAAAATATGAAGTTTAAAAATTAAAAAAAAAAACCATAAAACAATGTTTGCAAAAAATGTACTAAAATGAATTATAGTTTCTAAGCCCTAGGCTGTCATGCCTGGTGGAAGCCAAAGGACTTGGCTCAGACCCACCCCTGGGGCCAGTCCTACAGCTGCAGGTAAGTTATGCCCACCTGCCTGCCCATGGGCGGGAGACCCTGCCCGCATGCCCTTTCGCCAGCAGCATCAAATGGAGGCTGGGGGTGATGAGCTTGTCAAGTGGTGGCCGATGACACTTGTATTGTTTTCCCTACACCTTGGAAAGTGACTCAAATGGCAAACATATGTCTCCAAAGTCATGCCCAGGGTTTCTTTCCCTCCAGAATTCCTAAAGACACTCTGAGTCCCAGCTTGCAGTATGAATGGAGGCTGGGGTCTGACCAGGTGATGGGGGTGTGAGAAGTTGCCTTATATGGTGGCCCCTACATTTCACAGCCCCTGGCAGATGCTGCAGTTTCCACATCCCTGGGGAGGGGTGAGAGATGCTGTAGATGCCTTTGTGGGATCTGAGCACACACGCAGCCCCGAGAGTCGGGAGGGAAGCCGGGGCTGGGAGTAGGATCTCTGCCCTTTGCACAGCTGAGGTCTGGCAAGATGCTTCTCGGGCAGGAACCCCAAGGGGAGCACTTTCTCCACGTGATCCATCATTTCCTGGGGGTCTTCATGAGTCCTTAGCCCCAGCTTTCCAGCTTCACACCAGCCCCCTCCCGGGTGGCCCTGGAGCCTGGGTTATTTGCTGTTTTTTTTTTTTTTTTTCAAGCGGGCACCACACCCGTGGACTGTCTGCCAAGAAGGACCATTGTTCGTGAGAATTCCTCCCTGGCTCCAGCTAACCCTTAGATGCACTATTCTGATTTTGTGGGCTTGAATTCTTATTTTCTTAAGCCTCACTTCTACCCCTACCCCCCAACTTATTCTTGCCTTCTCTCAACCCGGCCTTCTCATCAAACCTCATTTTGTTGCCCAAAAAGCTTTGAGAGGTGGGCGGGGATGTGGAGGTGAAGCCCTTCAGGAAAATTGAAGGTGGCTGTTTGACCTGGTCTCCGGAGTAGCTTTGCGTGCCCGCCTCGGAGAGGAGGCAGGGAGGCCCCCTGCATTCTGGGAGAGGAGGCTGTCGGGTAACCTAAGTTGGGGAATGCAGCGGTGATGGGAAGTGAGTGGGAGGCAGGGGTGGGAATAAGCGGGAGGAGAAGATAGGCTAAAGAATGAAAAGCAATATCTCTCCCCCCAGAATTGAGTTGATTAACCTGTAGAAAGGGAGGCCCTGCCAAGCCCAACTTCCTTGTTTCCAGAAACCTTGGCACGGAGGCCCCGTTTCTGGCAGAGGCCTCTCCTAGTCGGGGAACCAGCAAAGCAGCTGCTGTGATTTTCTTTTTCCTCTCATTTCTGGCAATCCGGAATGGGACTGTTTACTTTTTTCTTCCTCTTTCCTTCCCCACCCTCCTGTAGCAGGGAGTTGGTTCTGGTTAATGTTGAAGATCATAACATGATTACCCCAAAGTCTCCTGAAATTAAATCACTTTTCTTCAAAGAGAAAGGGGTGGGGGGACCGTCTGGCTGGTAGGCCAGCGAGGACGAGCGGATATTGAAAGCAGCCTGGCAGCTGTGATTCACTTTGCACAGCGGAGGCCCGGCAAGGCCCAAGCAGCCATGCACAGGGGCCGCATTTGCAAACAGTGGCTGGGAGGAGTCGCGTATCCCACCTGGGCCCCAGACACCTGTCTCCTGAGCGCCGAGACTTGGGGGTGGAAGGTGGGAATCAAAGCCGCGGGTGAAGGTGGGTGCAAGGTGATTCAGAGAGTTGAACCTGAACATGAGTCATCTGGGAAGAAACTGAACTTATCAAACAAGTCCCCACGAGAGTTCTCCATCACCTCCCACCCTGGGAGTTCATTGAGTCAGGGCACAAATTTCAGGGCAACTTTGCCACCAGAATAGCCTGGGATGGAAATCCGTCTTCAAAGCCTAACTTCAGTGGTAGCTGGAGGGATGTTTGTTTGTGTCTTTCCTTGTGCTGGGTCTTCCTGAACTCATTTGATTTTAGAGGTTGAGAGGACCATAGAGATCCTCCAGCATCTGCCCTCCCGCCGAGTGCAGGAGTCTCCTGTATACTTGACCCCAGCAAATAATGCTCAGCCTCTGCTTCCTTCCCTCCAGGGCAAACATTTGCCCTCTTACAAGGTCAGTTTTTGAAGAGAGAATATGGGAATTGCACCTGTTGATCCAGGTTGTGCGTTCCAGAGACTTGGAGATCCATGGTCCCACTTGGTGGGTGCCTGGCTCGGAAAATGACACAAAGTGAATGTGGTATTCTCTTCGTCATGGGCAGCCTGTTGGGGATTCTTGGCCCTCTTTCGCGCAGTGAGTTCAGCACTCCCTCTTTGTGGCTGTTTTCCTGGGCTGTTTCCTACCGTTTTTCATTCAAGGGAATCAGAGGAGTGGGAAACCATGTGGAAGCAGGATCTGGAAGATGCTCGATTCTTGTTGCTGGTGTCCCGGTACCTTGAGCTCTTTGTTTGGGGCCAGTGACCAGCCTGGGAGGCCCAGGAATCAGTGGCTATGTTGAGTGAAGACTTTAGGGGATTGGTCTTTTGGCGCCAAGAGGGCACCAGTTAGGCAGCAGAGGGACCATTTGAGAGAAGGCAGTGGTGCCGGCTCTCGCGAACCAGTGCGGGAGGGAAGCCTGACAGGGGCGAGGTGGCTTCCTGCAAGACGGCGTGTAAGCTCAGCAACTGCATTTTTCTGAGGAATTAGGGATGGGACGCGGCCAGCCCGCTCTGGTTGGAGCTTGGTGCTGTGACTCATTCTCATCAAGGGTCACTGAGCGTCTCTCTGCGCGTGGCCTTGGGCTGAACTCCTCACCTGGCCAGCCTTCTCGAAAATGTGTGTCATTCCTTGTGAGGCAGAGCCATGGAGCGGGTGAGTGAGTGTGCAAATCAGTGGAAATTCATCTGCACCACTGGAAAAACAACTCCAAGTTCATGACTTGTTGGCTTCAGAGGCGTGACTGTGAAGAATGGAGCTGACATTTTTGTTTTTCACTCAACACGCCCAAGTAGACAGATCCAGATGACTCTCCTGTCCACTTTAGGAGCCACCTGGGGAGGTGAAACACTTCTTCCACTGGCCTGGAGGGCCCTTTTACCAGCCCCGTGGGGAAGTCAGTCTTGTTACTTTACGGCCTCAGTTTTTATCCAAAGACAACATCACCTAGGCATGATCACTGAGCCTGTTCACCAGATTTGACACCCAAGGGTTGAGGCTGGATGCAAAAGTCCTATGCAGGTCCAGGGGCTGAGGAGCTGCCACTATCTGGGAAATTCAGGAGTCCCCAAGGGCAATTCTCAAAGGCAAGTCTCAGGAATGTGTTGGGCCCATTGGAATACTGTTGGAATAAGTGAGCCGTCCTCACTCTGCGTTTCCCAACACACACGGGTCTTACCCAACGGGATGTGTGCATGTGAGTGTGGATGTGGAATATGCTAGCTTGTTAGAAAGTCAGCCTCAACATGTTGTGGTCGGGCCTAGTTGGTTTGTTTACCAAGTCTCTTTGAGAGGCACAGTGAGTAACAGCAGGGTCTCTGGAGCCAGGCTACCAGAGTTCAAATCCCAGGCCCACCACTTAGAGATGGGATAGTCTTGGTCAAATGACCTCCTCTCCCGGTTCTTCCATCTATAAAATGGGGTTCAGCTGGGCACGGTGGCTCACGCCTGTAATCCCAGCACTTTGGGAGGCCGAGGCGGGTGGAATACTTGAGCCCAGGAGTTCGAGACTAGCCTGGCCAACATGGTGAAACCCTGTCTCTAGTAAAAATACAAAAAATTAGCTGGGCATGGCGGTGGGCACCTGTAATCCCAGCTACTCAGGAGGCTGAGGCAGGAGAATCGCTTGAACCTGGAAGGTGGAGGTTGTAGTGAGCCAAGATCACGCCACTGCACTCCAGCTGGGTGACAGAGGGAGACTCCATCTCAAACAAAAACAAAAACAAAACAAACAAACAAAAAATAAATAAAAAAAACTTAAATAAAACGGGGCTCTATGAGAGTCCCATCTGGTTGGTATTAGGATGAGTTGGCCTTGGTGTGTCACAGGAATGAAAGGGGACGGCCTGTCAGCCTCTCCAAGCTCATCGTCATTGCCCCTCCTAGCTTCTTTGGGAGGGGGAAGCTTTGAGACCCTCAGGGACTTCAGTCCTATGGCCTCAGACTAGGGATGTGTGTGTGGCTCTGCAGCCCCCGGAGGTGTGGCCTTGTGCCAGTCCCAGCGCTGCAGGGAAGAGGCAGGACAGAAGTGAGGGGAAGACATGTTTCCCCAGGGGGAAAATACCCCGCCTGGAATGGGTCAGTGGTTGGCAAACTTTCATTTAGCTGACAGAATCCTCCATGGAATCTAATGAGATAGAGCAGAAGAAAGCAGAGTTGCCTGGGTTGACGTTAGGGAGGCCCCATGGGCTGGCCCACCCCTCAACCCCAGGTTCACCCTTGAGGTGAGGCCACTGAATCCTGGGGCTCCTTGAGGTCATTTTTAAAAACTGCTGGTCAGAGAGAGGAGGTGATTCCCCATGGTCCCTCAGCTGACTGTGCTCATGAGAGCTGATTTGAGAACCTGACCCCTGTGGAAGACGCACAACCCTACTGTGTGCCCTTTAAGCCTCATGACAGCCACTACCTTTGTTAACATGAGGGAGGCCCAATGTCCAAGTGCAGTGGAATCCACCCAGGTGGGGAGGGTCTGCAGAGTCCTCCATCCTCCATCCACACCAGCCTGCACACTGACCACAGCTGGGAATTTCTTAAAGGCAGAGGGATGGGAATGCCTGGACATGTCCCCTTTAGGTTCTCTATTTGTTTTATTTTATTTCTATTTTTAAGTTTTTTTGTTAGAGACGGTCTCACCCTGTCATCCAGGCTGGAGTGCAGTGGTGCAATCATAGCTCACTACAGCTGTGAGCTCCTGGGGTCAAGCAATCCTCCCACCTCAGCATCCCGAGTAGCTGGGACCACAGGCACACACCAGCATGCTCAGTGAATTTTTCAAATTTTTTTGTGGAGATAGGGGTCTCTCTATGTTGCTCAGGCTGGACTTGAACTCCTGGGCTCAAGTGATCTTCTCACCTCAGTCTCCCAAAGTGCTGGGATTATAGGCATGAGCCATTGCGCCCGGCCTAGGTTCCCTACTTTAGATTAGCTCACAGTTTCTCAGCCTTCAGCATGTCTAACAATTAGAATTCAACATGAATACATAAAACCACACACTTTGCATAATTATTGATTTAAGTGACTTTCCAGGGTATTTTGACAGTCAGTTATTTTTAACTCCTGTGTGACTTTATCAACCACATGCCTCCACCCAGGATGGGGTGTCCCTGAGGACTCAGCCCCTGCCTCCTGGCTCCACACTGTCAGAGGTGTCTTCTTGCTAGACGGGTTCCCCTGCAGTTATTCTAGGAAGCCCAGTGTAGACCCAGCTGCTGCCTGGCCCTCTCCTTCCTGGAAATGTTTCCCACCCCGTTCTGTAGCAGGTAATCATCAGACAGGTGGGTGAGCAGAAGATTGGCTGTGGTCTCATGTCTTCTGTTTGGGGCATCTTGGAATTAACAAAGCAGGAGACAGAGGAAAGAACTGATAACAGTTGGAGGTACAATGTCTCTAAAACATGGATGTCCAGCCCCAATTCTCCAGTTGGGAATGGAAAGGTTCAAAAGAAAAAAAAAGGAAGAAAGGAACAAAAAGAAATGGAAGTAGTGATGTAGATTTTGGCCAGGAAGAGGAACAGGGTTTGGGGCTACATGTTGTTTGAGGAACGGCCCCAGGAGAACAGAAGTTCAGATAAATCAGAGGTGAGAGGGAAGGCATCCAGAGGCAACAGGATATTGGAGGTGGGGCAGTGGCTGAGAATCAAAAGCCTTGGCTACCAATCCAGGCCATATACCATCAGCTCATTTTAGCACTCTGAACCATTCATGTCGCTTTTCTGAGCCTCAGTATCCTCACCTATAAAATGGAGATAATAGTCCCCAATTCCCTTACAAGGTAGTTGTGAAGACCAAATCAGCTAAGGCAAAGAGGACATGCTTTAAGTGCTATATGAATAATAATAACAACAAATAAAGTACACTTCTGTTAGAAACAAAGTGGGAAAAGTTGATAAAGATGAACTTTACTGCTAATAAAATATCCAGGAAAATTGGAAAGGTGATGGAGAGGTCATTGGAAGAAACTTCAGACAAAAGAAATGTATAAACCACCCATTTCTCTAGTCTTAAACGGGTCTCCACAACTTCAGCCATGCAGGAGAGTTAAGAATCCCTCTAAGCGGATGAGGCAGGACCGGTGTTCAATGAATGTCTGTTGGTCATCAGTATTTGTGGAGGCTTATGGGGGTCCTGGGCTCTGTGTGGGGATTGTGGAGGTCATCCCAAGGAAGATGTTTGCCTTAACAGGTTTAATTATCATTACTCCACTCCTGTGTTCCCATTCCCAGATGGTGGTTAAGCACTCCTTGTCACCACTCAGTATTGTTTGTTAATTTGCCTGCCCATCCATCTATCCATCCATCCATCCATCCATCCATCCATCCATCCATCCACCCAGTGAACTAAGATTTACTGAGCCTTGTTCTGCATCAGGCAGTGTGCTTGGTGATGGGAGAGTGGTGAGCAGAAGAATGGCGATCCCTTGCTTTCATGAGGCTCTCACAGTCCAGTCTAGAGTTAGACAGGTAAGTATCATAAGCTGTGATTAAGCAATGGGGAGGCACAGGTTGCTATCCAATACCAGGCAGCAGTTCCCTGGGTGGGGGCAGTGGGATCGTTAGGAACAACTTCTGGAAGGAAGGACAGGGAGGAGTTAGCCAGATGAAAGGGGGCCAGAGAGAAAATGGACATGGCACAAAGGCTGGTACATCTGGGAGCAGGTGAGGGATGGAGCGTGAGCATCCTGTCCCCCGGAATCTCTGGCTCCCGACTGCATTTTAAAGATGAGTACCTGAGAGTCTGCATGAATTCTGGCAGAAATAGCTTCAGCCTTACCACATTTCAGGGTAGCTTCTGTTCTTAGATCTTCTTTATGGCTGAGGTTTTATGTTCCAGAACATGACTTGCTCAGTGTCTTTTCTAGAAGGAGTCAACCAGGGTACCTGGGCCTAACCTCTGGGCAACCTGCAATGGCAAATAAGATAGAAAAGTGAGACTCTGTGGGCTTCTGGGATAGAGAAACCATCCCTGGAATGTCCCCAAGGAAAACTTGATCTCTGGAGTCACCCCTCTGAACTTCTCAAACAAGTATTAGTGAGTCAGGCAGACAAAAAGTCTTCCTGGAGCTGATATTCTGGAGAAATGATGCGGTTTGCTCCAGGAGACAGAGTTCAGCCCCCTTTCTACGCTTCTCTTTTACTTTGAACCCATTCTTTGAAGAACATAGAAGCTGATTTAGGAACTCTGGAGTGCATACATCTGGAAAGAAATAGAACATCCAGGGATGCCCCCATGGCTTCTACAATCCTAATGGCTCCTCAGCCTCTCCCTCTACTCCACATCCAGCCTTGGGTTCTGGGGGAGAAGACCCATGGGCAGGAAGAGGGCCTGAGATGGCAAAGAAGCAGAAGCTTGATAGTACAGGGCCCCAGATCTTTTGTGCAGCCCAGAGCTGAGGTTGTGATGGAAGGACCCCTTCTGTAGACCCCCTGTTGCTGTGCCAAGGGAGTAGAACCCTGCTCCAGGGTGGTGGGGTCACCATTCTTGCGGGGTAGGAGATACCCAGGGGGTGAGCTGCAGCAACTTGTGCATAATCTCTTGTGCATTCTGGAAGGTTTTTCAATGTCTGAAACACTTCCTCCTCAGCTTTGGACTTTTTTCTAGTCCCCTTAAAAATGTGTCTGTACAATGGGATAGGCTGGGGAGCTTATCTTCTCCTCCCCATCTGTATTGATGGCTTTGATTGTGAGCAGTGTCTCTTTTTTCCTTAACACTATTCTTTCCTCTAGCACCCCTTCTAGCTGGTCCCCACCCCTGAGGAAGTGTTTCCCCAGCGGACCTATTTTCTGGCCCTTGAGGAAGTGGTTCCCCAGAGGAAGTGGTAGCCCAGTGGGTCTAGTTCCTGGCCTCCCAGGAAGTGGTTCCCCAGCAGGCCTGTTTCCTGGCCTTGGAGGAAGTGGTTCCCCAGTGGACCTGTTTCCTGGTTCCCCCTGGGAAGTGGTTCCTCAGCGGGCCTGTTTCCTGGCCCTGGAGGAAGTGGTTCCCCAGTGGACCTGTTTCCTGGTTCCCCCTGGTAAGTGGTTCCTCAGCAGGCCTGTTTCCTGGCCCTGGAGGAAGTGGTTCCCCAATGGGCCTGTTTCCTGGCCCCCAAGGAGGTGGTTCCCCCTGGGAAGTGGTTCCTCAGCAGGCTTGTTTACTGGCCCCTAAGGAAGTGGTTCCCCAGTGGCCTGTTTCCTGACCACCAAGGAAGTGGTTCCCCAGCAGGCCTGTTTCCTGGCCCCCGAGGAAGTGGTTCCCATGAGGACGTGTTTCCCCAGCAGGCCTGTTTCCTGGCCCTGGAGGAACTGGTTCCCCTGAGGAAGTGGTTCCCCAGTGGGCCTGTTTCCTGGCTCCCTGAGGAAGTGATTCTCTAGCAGGCCTGTTTCCAGGCTCCTTGCAGTCTCCCCAGTGTCTTCAGCACATCGTTGAAATTTGTAACTGAGGTGACCAATGACCTTCGTAGCTAAATGCAGCCCCCTGCGTGACCTCTGAAGCACTGCACACATGGACCTCTCTATCCCCTCTGGAATTCTCTCCTCATTGCTGCTCAGGCCTCGTCTGTCTCCCTCCTTGACTGGTCCTCCTTGCTGCCTTCCCTGGAGCCCTCTACACTTCAGGTCTCACCGATCCCATTCACTGTTAGAGTTAAGAGGTGGATGGTTCCAGTTATCCATCTCTGTTCCAGTCTCTCTAGAAGCATCCAGTAGTGTTATCTCTAACTTAGAACATTTGAAATCTCATTGTAATATTGCGAAATGTATATTTGGTCTTGGTCCCTGTTTCTTGGCATACAACTCCTAAAATCCTTGGAATCTTCAAAGGGATCAGATGTCTTTTGTGTGCTAAGGATTGGTTGGTGGCTGGCAGCCTCCAGGTAGCTTCAGGATGGAGGATGGTTACCAGAAAGACCATGGCAGGGTGAGAGGGCTTGGACTTTCCCTCTCCCTGCCCCACCTCCGGTGAAGCAAGAGGGGTTGAAGGTTGAAGGTTGGGCTGATCACCCGTGGCCAATGATTTAATCAGTCATGCCTGTGTAATGAAGCCTCCATAAAAACTCAGAAGGACAGCGTTTGGAGAGCTTCTGATAGCTGATCATGTGGAGGTTCCTAGAGGGTGATGGTCCCAGGGAGGGCATGGAAGCTCCTCGCCCTTCCCACATGTCTCACCCTATGTATCTCTTCACCTGTATTCTCTGTAATATCCTTTATAATTAACCGGCAAATGTGTTTCCCTGAGCCACTCTAGCAAATTAACTGAACCTGAGGAGGGGCTCTAGGGAACCTTGACTTATAGCTGGTTGGTCAGAAGCACAAGTAAAACAACGTGGGGCTTGTGATTGGCATCAGAAGTGCTGGGGGCAGTCTTATGCGACTGAGCCCTCAACAGATGGGATTTGACACTATATCCAGATACATAGTGTCAGAATTAAATTGGAGGACACCCAGCTGGTGTCCATTGCACAATTGTTTGCTTGGTTGTTGGAGAAAAAAATTCCCTCACACTTCTTGGTGACCAGAGGTATTGATTGTTGTGGGGTGAGTGTGAGGAGAAGCTGTTTTTTGTACAGACTCATCTTAATGACTGAAACGTACTTCCTCTGTGGTTATCTCTGTGCCAATGAAGATCACCCAGGAGCCCATCTTAATCTTTGACGTCTCAACCAGTCACCTAATCTTGTTGATTTTCCCCATGTGATGTTCCATTTGCACCTGTTTCATTCCATTTATCACCAACACCCAAGCTCTGTTCACATGGAGACCTTCATACCCACCCAGATAGTCTCCTCACCTCTCGTCCTCCACCCCCAAACCCACCTGCCCCACCCGTCCACACATCCTGCCATGAAGTACTACCTTTCATCACAACAGGTTAACGAGGAAGCCGACTGCTGTCGCAGAGAGAGCTCTGGCCTCAGGTGGGCCTTTCTCAATATCTTCACTCCCGGGAAGAGGAGATTGATGACAGTCCCTTGCAGATATGAATGGCAGGAGGCTGGGGGTCAGGGGTGGGATAGCCATAGAGGAAGCACTTTCATGCCTTAAGGTTGCCTTCAACCTTAAGTTAATAGTTGGCTGCACATTGAAGAAAGTCAGATAAATATTTAAAAATTCACTTTTAACCTTACATAAGGCCTGGAAGAGCACTTCCATTTGCCAACTTGCTGCAGGGCCAAGACGTTTTCTCCGAGTTTGGGTCTGCTGGGTGGGTTCTGTGTTGTCTCTTGCACAAACCTTGTCTCCAGTCTGCAGTTGGTTTCATGAAAGTGGTGTGATTCCTCAGACAAGCCTGAAGTTATCTGGGTTCAAAATCTTGTTTTTTTGTTTGTTTGTTTTTGAGACTGAGTCTTGCTCTGTCCCCCAGGCTGGAGTACAGTGGTGTGATCTTGGCTCACTGCAACCTCTGCCTCCTGGGTTCAAGAGATTCTCCTGTCTCAGCCTCCTGAGTAACTGGGATTAGAGGCACCCACCACCACATCCGGCTAATTTTTTGTATTTTTAATAGAGACGGGGTTTTGCCACGTTGGCTAGGCTGGTCTCAAACTCCTGACCTCAGGTGATCCTCCCGCCTCAGCCTCCCAAAGTGCTGGGATTACAGGCATGAGCCTCCACGCCTGGCCAGCATCTTGTATTTTTAAAAATAATTTTGCCTCAATCTTTTCTGGATATCTCCTCTACACCTCATTTGACAGCTGCATTTTGTAAATGTAGTGACTGGTTTTGTTGAGTCTTTGCAGTTGAGTTTTCATAGAAACAACCACACTTTTCACACTGTTTTAAATGGGCTGAGAACATACACAACTGGCTGGTGAGGGCAGCTGCGCTCAGGCATGAGGCAGAGTGTGGGGCCGTGAGCAGCGCACACACACTGCCTGCTGCAGACGCCGGGCCGGGGGCTTCACAGAGAGGATAGGAGGTCTGCGTTACTCTACGAGTGCATAGAGTAGAGATTGGCCATGAGAGTTTCTCGCCTTTTTTTTTTTTTTAATTTTGGATGACAGAATCAGTTTATGAAATGATCTTGATTGGCTAAGATGATGGAACCAACCAAATCAGATGAAACATCGGGAGGATAAATCTGAAGTCTTCCTTAGGTCTAAAGAATGAATTGCACCATTACCATGTCATAGATACTTATATTATCAGTGAGACTCAAGGGTTTTAGCTGAGGGGAGGATTTATTTGAGTCAACCATGGATGTGGTTGCCAAAGGAAGCTAACGTAAGCTTCGATCATCATAGCTCTCTAGTGTCTAGAGACAGGAGGTTGTAGGGGACACTGACCATCTCCTCAATACCCTTCCCACCCCTCATTCTCCGTGTTCTGCCATTGGCCTTGGGGGGATTGTCCGTGGGTTTTTTTTTTCTTCTTCTTCTGAGATCAAGTCTTGCTCTGTTGCCCAGGCTAGAGTGCAGTGGCTTGAGCTCAGCTCACTGCAAGCTCCGCCTCCCAGGTTTAAGTGATTCTCCTGCCTCAGCCTCCTGAGTAGCTGGGATTACAGGCATGCGCCACCACACCTGGCTAATTTTTGAATTTTTAGAGGAAGGGTTTCACCATGTTGGCCAGGCTGGTCTCGAACTCCTGACCTCAGGTGATTGGCCTGCCTCAGCCTCCCACAGTGCTGGGGTTATGGGCGTGAGCCACTACACCCAGCTGATTGTCTGTGGTTTTGTAATCCAGTCAGGATGATTCCATGCTCCTTGCCACGTGATTGATCAATACACAGCATTTTCCTGGCTACAGGAATTGGTTCAGGAATGGTCATGTGACCTGGTTTGGTCTAATGAAGCATGAAGGGACATTGGCTGAAGGCTTTTGTAAATAAGGTACCTAGCTCTTCTGTGGGGGATTCTGGAAACTAGCCTTCTTGCTCACCTTGGATGCTGTGGTGTGTGGATACGAAGCCTGGAACTGCTGCATCCCCTTTGCTATCACAGGGAACACCCACCAAAGGATGATATTGAGACCACGAAGGCATAGAGGACATAGAAGGACAGGTAGAAGACACTAAGTCCTGGATCACATCCCTGAATGAACCCGGTTCTACCTCCGGACCTTCAGTTACACAAACCCATGTAATTCAAGCCATTTTGGGTCGAGTTTTCTGTTAGTTAGCACAGAGATGAGTCTTCGCTTCCTTGGGGAGAGACAGATATGCTTAGAATATTGCATTTGCTTCTGGGCTCTGGCCTTTGAGAGGCACATTGAGGAGGTGCAGAGTGGCTAATGAGAGCCACCGGGCTGGGGAAGGGGATTGAAAAAGCGTCTATCATGGGGGTGATGATCCACTTTTGGGTGTAGATCATGTTAGCATTCTTTTAGATGGAAAGCTTCCGAAATATATTTCCAAAAGGATACAGTTTGTAGAAATGCAGAATTGTTAACTTTTCAGAAGCACGTGTAGTTGCCCAGGCTGGAGTGCAGTGGCTTGATCTAAGCTCACTGCAAGCTCCGCCTCCCGGGTTTAAGTGATTCTCCTGCCTCAGCCTCCTGAGTAGCTGGGATTACAGGCATGTGCCACCACGCCTGCATGAGATAAGATATTCCTGTGGCTTTCACTAACATGCTGGGGATAGCCAGAGAAAAATTCCATGAACGTGCAGGATGATTTAAATAAAAAGAGGCTGCTTTGTCTAGTCATTGTGTGGGAGGGAAACCCAAACCCCAAAGTGTCCTCATTCCAGTGTAGAAACAGCCACTAGAGTGTTGTTTTCACAGGACGCTGTCACCGGGTGGCCCTTTGGGAAGTGTGGGTGACTCGTTGCAGAGATTTCCATCTGGGGGGCAACACCGTAAGCCCTGGTTCCTTTTCCCTGCTCCACTCCAGAGCATTGGTGGAAGGAGACCTCTGGACATTCCACAGCCTTCCTGTGGGCCTCTTCAGCTTTGGCTTTGTTCTTTGCAGTTTTTTTTTTTTTTTTTTTTTTTTGAGATGGAGTCTCACTCTGTTGCCCAGGCTGGAGTGCAGTGGCGTGATCTCGGCTCACTGCAACCTCCGCCTCCTGGGTTCAAGTGATTCTCCTGCCTCACCCTCCCAAGGAGCTGGGACTATAGGCACCCGCCACCATGCCTGGCTATTTTTTTGTATTTTTAGTAGAGATGGGGTTTCACTGTGTTAGCCAGGATGGTCTCGATCTCCTGACCTCGTGATCTGCCTGCCTCGGCCTCCCAAAGTGCTGGATTACAGGCGTGAGCCACCGTGCCTGACCCCGTTCTTTGCAGTTTCTAACACTTTTTTCTGATACTTGCAGCAATGAGAGTAGAGCCAGCAGCTTCATGCACTTGTACCAGGATGCTACAGAAATGAGCAAAAGAAGTGAGCTGTGTGACTTGGGCAAGGACCTCCTGGTTAGCTGTAGGCTCATTTACAGAGACCTCAGAACACACTGGCTCAAGCGAGGTGGATACCTCTTTCCCTCACTTCGTGGCTGGGTGGTGGGGATGCGTGGGGTAAGTAGGCAGTGCTGTCCCATGATTGTCATCCAGAGCAGAACCCAGCCCCCTGTCCAGCTGCTCTGCCACCCTCTGGGGGGCTATCCTCAGCTTCCCGATGGAAGCTGGTCCTCCAGCACCCTGTCTTCATTCCAGCCTGCTGGAAGAGGGAAAGAGGAAGGGGAGGGAGAGCAATTTCCTTTAAGGAAGTGAAGTGGAAGTTACGCGTGTCATTTCCACTCATATTCCATCGCCTCAGACTTCATCATGTGGCCACACCTGGCTGCAAGGTATCCTGGGAAGTATGGTCTCTCGCTGGGTGACCATGCGTCCCTTAACTAAAAGGAAGTGGAGGATGGATATTGGCAACAGTTAGCTTCTCTGCTACTGTGCCTCAGTTCTTGCATCTACAGATCAACGTCCACAGGATCACCAACCATCCCGGGAGCTCTAGCCTCAGTGACTTCGTCTGTGAAGTGGAAATAACAAAAATACCAACCTCAGTGACACACAAGAGAGGACTTTGCATGGGGCCCACACACAGTTGGGTACTCAAATGACAGCTGCTCTTATGGCCGTTTTCATTCAGCCAATCAGCGAATAGGTTTTGAGCACCTGCTATGTGCCAGGAGCATTCAAGGCGCTGGGGATTCAGCAGAGATCAAACCAGACCAAAGCTCCAGTTCTCGGAGCTCAGCTTCTCGTGGGGTGACAGAGGGGCGCACGTGGGGAGAACTGTCTCCTCTCCTCTTGCCTGGCTCTCACTGCTACTACACATGGGATTTCCAAGTCAGGGCTCTTTGCAGGAATTGCCCAGATGGTCTCTTGCAGGAAGCCAGAGAGCCTAAGTGAGATTCGTTTCTGCCCCAATTGATAATTTATGAAAGCAACTTCATAAACACCAGGTAGTGTCCCATTTGTTACTCATTTAAGATTATTATTTCCTCCATTCTTTTTATGAGGGGTTTTCTTGTTGATTGTAGCAAGTGGAAGTAGGTGTAGGGAGATAAGTTGTTATGGTGTCTTCAAAAATAAAAACTAACAAATAAGCCGAGTGCAGTGGTCCTTGCCTGTTGTCCCAGCTGCTGGGGAGCCTGAGGCAGGAGGATTACTTGAGCCCAGGAGTTCGAGTCCAGCAGTTTGGGTAACATAGTGAGACCCTCATCTCTAAAAATAAAAATAAAACAAACAAACATTGAGATCATTCGGTGGGTATTTCTGAAGCCTCTGTCTCATGCTAGTTTGAATGCTAAATGATTGAAATACAGTGGAGAGAACCATAGGGTTCCTGACCTCAAGGCACTCACTCTAGAGGGGAATGTACACCAGCAATTACAATACAGGGCTGTGAGAGGTTAGAACGGGTGCTATGGAAGCAGGAGGAAGAGGTACCAGAGCCACTTGCGGGGCAGGATCAGGGAACGCTTCCTGGAGGAAATGAAATTATCACCAAACAGATCATCACTGTGACCACCTACCTTCATGATCACCATCATCACCATTGATGTCATCATCATCATGCTCACTGTCATCAATATCACTATCTCCTTTACCATCATTGCCATCATCATGCTGTCATCATGACTGTCCTGTCATCTTCACTGTCCTCATTACCATCACCACCTGCACCATCACCATCATCACCATCATCGTTGCTGTCATCATCACCATTATTGTCACCATCATCATCACTTCCCACCTCCTTCTCAATATCACCATCAGCTTCACCATCACCATCAGCATCAGCACCGTTGTCATCAGTACCACCACTAGCATCATGGCAGCTAGCATGCTTGACCACCTTCTGTGTGCCTGGCACCATGCAAAGCTCTTTGCACACATTGTCTCATTTAATTTCCACCGTGACCCTATGAAGCCAAGTTGTTATTCTCACTTTAGAGGTGAAGAAAATGAGGATCCTAAAGGTTACACAGTTTGACCAAGGTCACAGAGTGAGTTTCTCAGTGTTAGACTCAGGATTCAAGTTCAGGCTACCTGTTGTGGAACCTTAGTTTGCCAACCACCCTAGAAGGATGAGTGGGAGGTGGCTAGGTGGGGTGGGGTCTGACAAGGAGCCAGGAGCATTCTGGGGAGAGGGAGATGCAGGCACAGGGCCACAGAGAGACAGAGAGCTGGGGGCATTCGAGACCCAAAGAGGCTGTGTGGCCAGAGTGCTGAGTGTAAGAGGTGAGAGATGAAGCTTGAGTGTAGGGCAAGGTCTGATCCTGCAAGCCCTGATTGGCGTTTTCTAGTTTTGGACTTCGTCTTGATGACAACAGGAAGACCGTATTGAAAGGTTTTAAGTGGGAGGGGACCGTGATTGGCTTGTGCTGTAGGAAGATCACTCTGGTCACCCAGTGGGCAGTGGAGCTGAGAAGGGGGAGACTGAGGCAGGGAGACATCATTTGGTGTAGGAGTTTGAAGCATTCATTGCTCCCACATACCAGAGTCCTGGGATCCTTAGACATCCTCAGAGCTCCCTCCAGGTGCTCTTCTCCACAATTACCCAGAGGATTGAATCAAGCTGAGAGTTCTCAGCTCTCTTTTCTCGAGACAGCTGCTCATCCTTTGTTTGGAACCCTGGGCCTGTGCCGATTTGCCCAGTAGCTTTCACGAACGGCTTTCACATAAAGCCAGACTTGTGCTTTCTAAACAGTTGACCCTGTGTGAGGGCCGTGACCTTGCAGAATACAAAACAGGAGAGGTTAGATCTAAGTCCTCCACTGAGTGCTCCTGGGGCATCCTGCCCCCAGGGAGGCTGTGGTCTACCCAAGAGCAGATGTAGAAACCCCAATTCGACCAGGAGGCTGAATGGAGCCACTTTGTCCCATGCTCCCCACTGCTGTCCTTCCTCCCCAGAGGCAGGAACGAGGCTGCCTCATCCAGAGCTGAGACGCATACTGCTGTGCTGGAAGGAGAAGGCCAGAACCCCAGCTCACCAAGCTGGCATTGCTGGTGCACGAGCCACCCAGTGGGGACAGGCAGGGGGCAGGAGGCGGGAGACAGGGGACCAGCTCCCGACGGCCGTGCCGAGGGACTTCTGTGGGTGCCCAGTGGGTGTCCATCTGCAAGTTGGCTTCAAGGGTCTTTTGGCCACCTCTTCCATGACTTGGAATTTCTTATTGTCCTGCTCTTAAAGATTTTGAGGATCCCTAGTAAGTGGGGATCAGGAGTTCTGGGTTCTGGGTGTGGCTTTATTACCAGCTCACTGGGTAGGGTTGGGCCAGTCCTTTCCCCTCTCTGGGCTTCAGACTCCTTCTTATGAAACAAGGGATTGGCCTTAGGTGTCCTCTGAGGTCCCTCCAAAGCAAGCCGCTCTATGTTCTCTGGAGCTCCTAGCACCCCAATGACACACACCAAATAGTTGCCACAGACGGATGGGTGGATGGGCTCTGAGTCCCACCTCCACCCGCTCCTGGGTGGGTTGTTCATTTGAGGACTGAGACCCCAGGGCAGACCCGGAAGCCTGGAACACGTTCACATGCCACAGATGGAGGATTTTTCCGCTTCAATTATCTTCTTTGCAGGTTTTGGGTTTTCAGACAGGGCTGGCAGCTTGACTGAGCCACAGTAACCATTTCCGAGCTGGCTGGAAGCATGCATGGAGGACCTCAGGGTTCAATCTGTTGTTCTCCTTCCAGTATCAAGAGTCTGAACGATTCCAAATACGGAGAAACAACCTCTCTCCGGGTTCCTTGTGGCCAGCCATCACGAAACCCTCGCACCTGTTCACCCTGCAAAGCGTGATATGTCTGAACTATTTAAACGGTTGGGTTTACTGATTAATTTCTCCTCAGCCTCATGCCTGGATCCTGGGTGTCCGCCATCGGAGTGCTGGTGACTGTTGTGGAGGCAGGACCCCCAGCTTAGGGTACAGAGTCTCCTGTGTTGTGGAGAGCTGAGAAGACCAGGTATGAGGAGCCTCATTTGTGCTCTAGCTTTATTATTAAGTTAAGGGTGCCAGGCGCGGTGGCTCACGCCTGTAATCCCAGCACTTTGGGAGGCCGAGACTGGTGGATCACCCGAGTTCAGGAGTTCGAGACCAGACTGACCACCATGGTGAAACCCCGTCTCTACTAAAAATACAAAAAAGTTAGCCAGGTGTGGTGGCGGGCACTTGTAGTCCCAGCTACTCGGGAGGCTGAGACAGGAGAATCGCTTGAACCCGGGAGGCGGAGGTTGCAGTGAGCCGAGATTGTGCCACTGTACTCTAGCCTGGGCGGCAGAGCAAGATTCCATCTAAAAAAAAAAAAAAAATTAAGGACATATGTTTTGGCTATTCTCCAATTTCTACTTTTTATACCTTGTTAAACACATTAGAGCAATGTCCTAGGTGACAATTTCTTGTTGATAACGCACAAGTTTTGCCAGAAGACTGTCTCAGATGTTCCCTGTTCTCTACCCCTGGTGGGTTTTTCACTGCTGGGTGGAACCTAAATGTTCATTGTCCCTTCTGAGAACACCTGCTGTGTGCTTCCCCTGCCTGCAAAAACCACCTTGAACGTGATGGGTGCTTTCGGACTCTCAGGGCCCTTCTACCTCTGCTCATCCCAAACACCACGGCACTGGAGACAAAGCTTTTCGTTCGCAGCCGCAGCCGCTTGCCTGTGATCATCTTTTTCCAGTTGGGGGTTTCATCTCTCTTTTACAACCTGGCTCCTGCTACCGACCTCCTGCAGTTTCTGGCGGGGACTTGTTAGAGTGGCCAAACAAACTTTTTTTTTTAAACACCAACAAGCTATCTGGACACAGTAGGGTAGTTACTAAGCAAAATTATCACTGCTCCCTTCTATGCCCCAGAAGTCCTGAAGCCCACAGCCTGTCTATCCTTTTGAGGCCAAAGGGAGAGATGGGCATTTGAGGACATGGTGGGAAAGGCTGAGGCTGGAGGACGGGCTGTGGGTATGTGAGTGGGGAATGGTGTTGACGCCTGTCTCCTCCCAACTTATGGCATTGATCATCTTTTGGTAGGAGCCGGGCTACCAAACTCATCTTTTTTTTTTTCTTTTTCTTTTTTTTTTTGAGATGGAGTCTCACTCTGTCACCAGGCTGGAGTGCAGTGGCATGATCTCAGCTCACTGCAACCTCTGCCTCCTGGATTCAAGCGATTGTCTTGCCTCAGCCTCCCAAGTAGCTGGGACTACAGGCATGCACCACCATGCCTGGCTAATTTTTGTATTTTTAGTAGAAATGGGGTTTCACCATGTTGGCCAGAACAGTCTCGATCTCTTGACCTCATGATCCGCCTGCCTCGGCCTCCCAGAGTGCTGGGATTACAGGTGTGAGCCACCGCGCCTGGCCTAACTCCTCATCTTTCTTACTTACCAAAGCAGGTAAGGACTCTCTGTGACTCACTAAGCAAGAAAGTCATGGATGTTTCTGGTCATTTAGGAGCAGAAAGAGGGGGATACAGATGCCGGTTTATAAAGGCTGAGAGTGCAGGAGGCAGCCACTCAGGAGACCTTGCTAAGGCTGGCTTCCCGCTGCTTGTCTTCTCTGGCCATTTCTCTGCTTGGGTACAGAAACCAGGCCAAGTGCCTGGGGAACATTTAGCTTTTTGTTGTGAGAAGGGAAGAATTAGAAAGTCAAATGCTCCTATGGACTGGGAGCCAAGAGAAGGGGGCAGGGAGGCTGGCAGGGCCTTGAGGAGGCTTGGCCACTCTGAGGGTGGGTGCCCATCTAAGGCAAGCCTGGAGCTGGGTGGGCAAGAGCCGGGCGGCCCCGCTCCTCCTTTCCATGTCCTCCCCTCCACCGGGACCCTCAGCCTGGGCCCAGCAGGGAAACCCAGGGCGTGTGAAGCCGACCAAAGGGAGATGGATTGAAAAACAGCCAGCTGAGGAGGGCACTGGCTGCCAGGCGGAGGACTCGGCAGTGCCAAGTGCAAGGTTTCTGGAGAGCTGCTTATGTCTCACTGCCTACAATAACACCTCATTTATTTGGCATTATCAGAGAATGAGCTGTTTCCCTTAAGTGACTTTTCCTCCCCCAAACTTTAAAAATGGAAACATTTTATGTGTCAAACTTTTTATTATTATTTAATTGTGGTAAAATATACATAACATAAAATGTACCATCTAAACCATTTTTCTCTATGTTTTAGAGACAGGGTCTCGCCCTCTCCCCCAGACTGGAGTGTAGTGGTAGGATCATAGCTCACTGCAGCCTCAAAACTCCTAGGTTCAAGGGATCCTTCTGCTTCAGCCTCCCCAGTAGCTGGAACTACAGGCTCAAGCCACAGTGCCTGACCAAAGTTAAACTGGATCCTACGTTTAACCCCCCGCCTTTTTTTTTTTTTTTTGAGATGGAGTTTCTCTCTTATTGCCCAGGCTGGAGTGCAATGGCACGATCTCGGCTCACTGCAACATTTGCCTCACGGGTTCGAGTGATTCTCCTGCCTCTGCCTCCTGAGTAGCTGGGATTACAGGCATGTGCCACCACGCCCGGCTGATTTTGTATTTTTAGTAGAGACGGGGTTTCTCCATGTTGGTCAGGCTGGTCTCGAACTCCCGACCTCAGGTGATCTGCCTGCCTCGGCCTCCCAGAGTGCTGGGATTACAAGCGTGAGCCACCGTGTCCGGCCCGTTTAGCCACTTTTATGTGTACAGTTCAGTGGCATGAAGTACATTCACCATCATCACCATCCGTCTCCAGAACTTTTTCAACTTCCTAAATTGAAACTCTATACCCCTGAAACAACTTCTTCCTGCCCCAGACTCTGGAAACCTCTAATCTACTTTGTCTCTAGGAATCTGACTACTCTAGCTACCTCATATCAGTGGAATCATACAGTAGTTGTCCTTCGGTGACTCCCGGGTTCAAGCGATTCTCCTGCCTCAGCCTCCTGAGTACCTGGATTACAGGCATGCACCACCACGTCCGGCTAATTTTTGTATTTTTAGTAGAGACGGGGTTTCACCATGTTGGCCAGGCTGGTCTCAAACTCCCGACCTCAAGTGATCCTCCTGCCTCGGCCTCCCAAAGTGCTGAGATTACAGGTGTGAGCCACCACACCTGGCGACTGGCTTATTTCATTTAGTATCATGTCACCATGGTTCACCCAAGTTGTGTAAATGTGTCAGAATCTCCTTCCTTTTTAAGACTGAGTAATACTCCATTGTATGGAGAGGCCACATTTTCTTTTCTTCTCTTTTTTTTTTTTTTTTTTTTTTTGAGACGGGGTCTCACTCCATCTGCAACCTCTCCCTCCCAGATTCAAGCGATTCTCATGTCTCAGCCTCCCGAGTAGCTGGTATTATAGGCGCAAACCACCATGCCTGGGTAATTTTTGTATTTTTTTAGTAGAGACAGGGTTTCATGATGTTGGCCAGGCTGGTCTCAAGCTCCTGGCATCCAGTGATCCACCAGCTTTGGCCTCCCAAAATGTTGGGATTACAGGTGTGAGCCATGGCGCCCAGCCTGGATAGGTCAAAATTTTTTTTGAGACAGGGTATCACTCTGTGGCCCAGGCTGGAGTGCAGTGGTGCGATGTCAGCTCATTGCAACCTTTGTGTCCTGGGTTCAAGTGATTCTCGTGCCTCAGCCACCCATAGCTGGGATTACAGGCGCACACCACTATGTTTGGCTAATTTTTGTATTTTTTTTTTGAGACAGAGTCTCGCTCTGTCGCCCAGGCTGGAGTGCAATGGTGCAATCTCAGCTCACTGCAAGCTCCGCCTCCCAGGTTCACGCCATTCTCCTGCCTCAGCCTCCTGAGTAGCTGGGACTACGGGTGCCCACCACCACGCCCGGCTAATTTTTTGTATTTTTAGTAGAGACGGGGTTTCACTGCGTTAGCCAGGATGGTCTCGATCTCCTGCCCTTGTGATCCGCCCGCCTCGGCCTCCCAAAGTGCTGAGATTACAGGCGTGAGCCACTGCGCCCAGCCAATTTTTGTGTTTTTAGTAGAGATGGGGTTTTGCCATGTTGGCCAGGCCGGTCTTGAACTCCTGGCCTCAAGTGATCTGCCCGTCTCGGCCTCCCAAAGTGTTGCGATTACAGGCGTGAGCCACCATACCGGCCTGATAAACCGCATTTTCTGTATCCATTCATCCATCCATGGACATTTGGATTGCTTCCAGCTATTTGCTATTGTGAATAATACTGCTATGAACATAGGTATTACCCAAGCTTTGTTGAGTAAGCTTAAGTAACAAATAACTTATTAGAAATATTTTTCTTATTCTAAATTTTATTTATTTATTTATTTTAGAGACAAGGTCTCACTCTGTTGCCCAGGCTGGAGTGCAGTGGCACGATCACAGTTCACTGTAGTTTTGACCTACCAGACTCAAGTGATCCATCCACCTCAGTCTCCTGAGTAGTTGAGACCACAGACAAGAGCCTCCACACTTGGCGAATTTTCTTAATTTTGGTAGAGATGGTATCTTGCTATGTTGCCTAGGCTGATGAACTCCTGGGCTCAAGTGGTCCTCCTGCCGCAGCCTCTCAAAGTGTAGGATTACAGGAGTCAGCCATTGTACCTGGTAAATTTTAAAACATTTAGAAAATGTGGACAAGTTGGCTGGGCGCGGTGGCTCACGCCTGTAATCCCAGCACTTTGGGAAGCCGAGGCAGGTGGATCACTTGAGGTCAGGAGTTTGACACCAGCCTGGCCAACATGGTGAAACCCTGTCTCTTCTAAAAATATAAAAATTAGCTGGGCGTGGTGGCGGGCGCCTGTAGTCCCAGCTACTTGGGAGGCTGAGGCAGGAGAATCACTTGAACTTGGGAGGCAGAGGTTGCAGTGAGACGAGATTGTGGCACTGCACTCCAGCCTGGGTGACAGAGCGAGACCCTGTCTCAAAAAAGAAAATGTGGACAAGTTAAAAGAAAAAAATCACTCATTATCCCATTGTCCAGAGAAACTTCTAGTATACATACTATTTACATTTTGTTATATACACTTCTGTTTTACCTTTTAATGCATACAAACATTCAGTTTCTACAAACAGGATTTTATATTCAAACATATACTATTTTATAACCTACTTTTTAAAACTTACTGATATCTTGACTCTCTTGCTGCAACCTAATTTTCATGACTGCTTGGCATCTTAGTACATGAATGTACCACAGATTCTGATGAGTTTCTCACTGTAGGGTCTGAAGGTTGTTTCCAGTTTTTTTCTATTACTCATAGCACAGTGAGGTACATTCTTGGAGCTAAACCTCTGTGTGTCTGTTTAGTTCTTTTTGGAGGATAGAGTCTTAGAATCACATTTGGTGAGTCAGAGGGTGTGTGTGTATACATATATATGTACACACACACATATATGTATGTACGAATATAATATGTACATATAAATGTGTATATACATATTAAATGTAGCTATATTAAAATGTGTGTATATATACACATTTTAAAATCCTTTAAGTCTTCTATATGTATTGGCAAATTGCTTGTCAGATAAGTTTTACTTATTTGTGTTTCCATCAGCAGCATCAAAGAGTGGCAGTTTCTCTGTAACCTCACTGAGGCTGTGTATTGTCCTTTATGAAATCTTTGCTAAACTGAATGGTAAGAAATAGCATATTGAAGCCAGGTGCGGTGGCTCACACCTGTAATCCCAGCACTTTGGAAGGCTGAGGCAGGCGGATCACGAGGTCAGGAGTTTGAGACTGGCCTGGCCAACATGGTGAAACCCCGTCTCTACTACAAATACAAAAATTAGCCAGGCATGGTGGCGCATGCCTGTAATCCCAGCTACTCAGGAGGCTGAGGCAGGAGAATCGCTTGAATGCAGGAGGCAGAGGTTGCAGTGAGCTGAGATCATGCCACTGCACTTCAGCCTGCGCAACAGAGCGAGACTCCGTCTCAAAAAAAAAAAAAAAAAAAAAAAAGAAACAGCATGTTAAGTTTTAAAAGTATGCATTTCTTTGAACATTTAAAATAACATGTCTGTTAGCCACTTGTGTTCCTTTTTTTGGGGAATTGCTTATTCAGGACCTTTGTGTATTTTTTCCATTGAGGGATGAATATTTTGTTACTTATTTGTGAGCATTCTTTGAATATTGAGGATGTAAATTATTTGTTATTTCAATTGCAAACAGTTTCCCCAAGTTTGTCCCTTGCCTCTGTTTTGCTTCTGGTGCTCGTTCATGCAGAAAAATGCTTTTTACTTTTATATAAGTATTTTATGTTTAACTTCTGCCTTTGGTGTCATTTCAATAAGAGGTTATAAGATATTCATCTACTTTTTAGTGTATTCTAGCACTTTCATAGCTTAATTTTTTATACTTAAATCTTGAATCCATTCCTAAAATGATCTGATGTAAGGTAAAGAATCCAGCCTTTCACTTTGTCCATGTGGACCTTTCCCTAACGCATTCGAAATGCTCCTTTGCCATGTGTTAATTCTCTTTGGTCTGTTTCTGGAGTTCTTTCTGTCCAATGATACACATCTGTGTTCTTTTGCCAGTGCCACACTGTTTTAATATTTTAATCATTTTAGGGCATGAATCCCATGATTACAAAATCCCTTGGCTGGTCTTTTGCATTTTGTTTCCAGATGAACTTTAGACTGATTTGATCAACTTAAAAAATAATTCCTCTGTGCTTCTGATTGAAATGGCTTTAACTTTATAGATAAATGTGGAGGGAATGAGAATCTTTATAATTTTTTTCTTTTTCTTTTTCTTTTTTTTTGAGATGGAGTCTCACTCTGTCACCCAGGCTGGAGTGCAATGGCGTGATCTCAGTGCACTGCAACCTCTGCCTCCCGGGTTCAAGCGATTCTCCTGCCTCAGCCTCCCGAGTAGCTGGGATTACAGGTGTGTGTCACCACACCTGATTTTTGTATTTTTTAGTAGAGATGGGGTTTTACCATGTTGGCCACGCTGGTCTTGAACGCCTGACCTCAGGTGATCTGCCCACCTCGGCCTCCCAAAATGCTGGGATTACAGGCGTGAGCAACTGCTTCCAGCCAAATCTTTATAATATTGAATCTTCTCGTATGAAACTTTGATATGTCCATCAGGTATCCACATGGTTTCCTCATCTATGTCCCTGAATGTTTCTTAAGTTTATATGTGGGCATTTTGAATTGTTTGTAGCATGGTGAATGGTGTCATTTTCCAGTATATTTTCCAATTGTTTGCTATTGGTATATATGAAAGAAACTGGCTTTTATGTATTTATTCAGTGACTGGCCTGGTCACTGAATAGGGGCTGTCTTCCTGGGTTTTATGGGTAGACTTTTTTTTTTTTTTTTTTTTTTGAGATGGAGTCTTGCTCTGTCGCCCAGGCTGGAGTGCAGTGGCACAATCTCGGCTCACTGCAAACTCTGCCTCCCGGGTTCACGCCATTCTCCTGCCTCAGCCTCCCGAGTAGCTGGGAGTACAGGTGCCCGCCACCACACCCAACTAATTTTTTTGTATTTTTAGTAGAGACGGGGTTTCACCGTGTTAGCCAGGATGGTCTCCATCTCCTGACCTTGTGATCCACCCGCCTCCACTTCCCAAAGTGCTGGGATTACAGGCGTGAGCCACCGCACCCAGCCCATCATAGCATCTTTAATAATAATAATTCTGCCTTTTTCTTTTCTGCCATTCATTCTCTTTTCTTGTCTTCTTGCATTGGCTACACCATTCAGAACAATTCTAACTAGTAGGGATGATAATAGCAGGCGTCTTTGTCTTAATTCTGACTTAAATGGGAATGTCTTTAGTGTTTCACATTTCTCTGCTTAAGGAGTGTTAAATGCAACTAAATCTTATTTTGATGTTTCAGAGTCATTGGTAATACATAATTGAAAAACATTCTGTCATACAGTCATACCATCAGCAATCAGTGGAGCTTACTTATCTGTTTTACTTGAAGGTTCCAAGTTTTATTTTTCTCACTCATGCTCTCTCTTTTGCATTGCTGACTCACTGAGACTTTCCTTGTTTCTCTTCTCTTGCTCCCAAGCTGTCTATTGTCGGTAATTTCTGTTGTTTTTCTCCTTTTTCATTTTATAAACCATTGTTTTAATTGAGGCCATAATTTGAGGACGTGGAAAACATTTCAAATAGTACAAAAATAAGTCAAAAGTCAGAAATTCAAACGCTGCTGTAAGATGTGTTTCCCTCCTATGCCGACGCTTGTTCACCCTGGAAAATGTAACATTTTGTGTCCTTCCAGACCTATTAAATGCAGTGTGCTTCTATTTATGTTAAAAAATATGAAGATATTCTGGGCGCGGTGGCTCAAGCCTATAATCCCAGCACTTTGGGAGGCTGAGGTGGGCAAATCACGAGGTCGGGAGTTCAAGACCAGCCTGGCCAACATGGTGAAACCTCATCTCTACTAAAAATACAAAAAAATTAGCTGGGTATATTGGCATGTGCCTGTAATCCCAGCTATTTAGGAGGCTGAGGCAGGATAATCGCTTGAACCTAGGAGGTGGAGGTTGCATTGAGCCAAGATCATGCCACTGTACTCTAGCCTGGGCAACAGAGCGAGACTGCCTCAAAAAACAAAAAAAGAAAAACAAAAAAACCCCAAACAGACAAACAACAAAAAAATGAAGGTATATATTCATATCTGTCCTGTACCAGAACACAAATAGAAAGCACACTATTCATGCAGTTAAGCGCTTTTATCACTTAATATATCGTGGCAATCTTTCTAAATCAGCAGTGTGGATTCCTTAGTATGCCATTGAATGCATATAACGTAATTTATTGAAACAGTCCCCTGTGTACCTAGGTTTCTCCAGATGTTCCAGCTGCAGTGAACATCCATGTAAATATAAGTCTTTGTTCTCCTTTGAGAATTTTCTGCTCCTAATTGACTTACTCTGACCTCCCCCCGAGAAAGAGAAATAGATGAACTATTCAAAACTGAATGTAAACTAAGAATAAATAGGTTCTGAATGAAGATCAGATGATTCTATTGAGCAGAGTGAATGGGTTTTAGTCAAGGACTTCCTACCGTTATCATGACTGTAGAGTGGACGTTTCGCTCAGTTCTTTATTGTCACCTGGCATCGTTTACTTCCAAGTTTGCTGGATAAATGATCCCTCCCATGCCCGTTCCCAGACATAAGGTTGATGCCACCTGTTCGTGTGACCCTGATGCGCCATATTTGTTACCTATTTATTCTCAGTTTCCTTATCAGCATCCCATACAGGCTTATTGGCCTCACCTGGCAGTGCAGGGTCTCCAGCAGTGCCTGCAGCCAGGTGTCCTGGGAGGCACCTGTGCAGTCTGGAGAGCGCTGTTCACAGTGAGCTGGACTGCAGACCCTGGGAGCTAAGAGGGGACAGGTGAATGCCTTAAGGAGCCTGCGGAGCAGGTCTTGCAGGATGGCTGGGAAGGGTCATTGCAGCATATCTGGCCTGTCTGATGCAGCAGGTGGAAACAGAGACTGCTGAAACCATGGCACTGGCGAGAACCTCATCTGTGAGGTTCCTGTGGCGTCAGACACAGCCAGAAGCTGTTTTCATATGATCTGGACTGGAGCAGACTATGGGAGGATGCTGGGTGTTTCCAGCCACACCTGCATATGAAGAAAACAAGCACCCCCAGTAGCTGGGGTGTGGAGAAGAGAGAGGTTAGTGAGATGCTGCTGGGAATGTAAATCGTAGGGGAGATTATGGTTTTTAGGGAGAGAAGCGATTTTTCTCTCACTTCTCCATTGGCCAGGACAGCTTTTGTTTTTAACCTCTAATACTCATTTTCTTTCTGACTCCAAAAACAATGTGTATTAATTTTAGAAATTTAAGAAAATATAGAAAAATAGAAAAATAATAACCTGAAATCTTTCCTTCTAGGGAACACACTGGTAACATTGAGTATATTCTTCTGGTATATTTCCATTTTCGTTTTCCTTTGTACATGAATTTTTTTAATGAAATGGAAGTATGCTTTGCATATTGTTTTGTAACCTGGGCTTTTCATTTGCTATATGGGAAACACTTTGTCCATGTTGTTAAATATTCTGTAACATTGTTTTAATAGTCTCATTGGCCGGGCGCAGTGGCGCACGCTTGTGATCCCAGCACTTTGGGAGGCTGAGGCGGGTGGATCACCTGAGGTCAGGATTTCGAGACCAGCCTGACCAACATGTTGAAACCCTGTCTCTACTAAATACAAAAAAAGTTAGCTGGGTGTGGTGGTGTATGCCTGTAATCCCAGCAACTCCGGAGGCTGAGGCAGGAGAATCACTTGAACCCGGGAGACGGAGGTTGCAGTGAGCCGAGTTTGCGCCATTGCACTCCAGCCTAGGCAACAAGAGCGAAACTCTGTCTAAAACAAAAAAAAATCTCATTGACTCTCACTTTATGAATATAGAGTAATTTATTTGACCAAACATGTTGTTAGAAACTTCAGCTATTTCCAGTTTTTTTCCTTCCTTCCCTCCCTCTCTTCCTTCCTACCTACCTATATACCTACCTACCTTCCTTCCTTCCTACCTAAAAAATTCTACAATGAACATCATAGATACGTGTTTGTATAGTTTTATAATTTCCTCATAATAAATTCCTGGAGGTAAAATGTCTGTTCAAAAGATGAACATATTTTAAATTTAAATTTGTTCTCCAAAAAGATTAAAGCATTTATGTTTCTACCAGAAATATTATGAGAATGTCTTGAACTCTTTCTTACAATAGCCATTATTGTTTTAAAAAATCTTTACCTATGTAATAGGCAAAATAGTTGCTGCACATGTTATTTCAAAAAATTAAATCACCTTTTTCTGAATTTAAAATAATATACATTATTTTAAATAAACAATGTGACAAAATATAGAAGAAAAATGTACTGAGTAATCCTTTCCACCTAGGAACAATGATAATTAACATTTTAAAAAATGTTTTTATTTTATTTTATTTTTAAATAGAGACAAGGTCTCACTTGTGTTGCCCAGGCTGGTCTTGAACTTCTGAGCTCAAATGATCCTCCCACCTTGGCCTCCCAAAGTGCTGGGAATACTGACATGAGCCACCACCCCCAGCCTCATTAACATTTTGATGGAAGTTATTCGAAACATCTTGCTTGATGTCTTGTATATGCTATGTGTATATGTGTGTATATATATATTTACATATATATGCATAATTTTTGTATAATTTTGCATGCATTTTACTCTGTGTTATTTGGTAACCTGCTTTTTCTGCTCAGCAATATGTCATGCATATCTTTATTTATTTATTTTTTTGAGACAGAGTCTCGCGCTGTTGCCCAGGCTGGAGTGCAGTGGCACGATCTCGGCTCACTCCAAGCTCCACCTCCCAGGTTCAAGTGATTCTTCTGCCTCAGCCTTCCGAGTAGCTGGGACTACAAGCATGTGCCACCATGCCCAGCCAAATTTTGTCTTTTTTTTTTAGTCGAGACGGGGTTTCACCATGTTGGCCAGGATGGTCTCGATCGCTTGACCTCGTGATGTGCCTGCCTTGGCCTCCCAAAGTGCTGGGATTCCAGGCATGAGCCACTGCGCCTGGCCTTATCTGCATATGCATATCTTATCTGGTCAGTAAGAACTATATCATGTGTATAGCACTACCTCATCTTTTTGAGGATTGCTAGAATTCATGTAAACAATCTCCTTTGTCTACCTTTTAATGCAAATCATTTTTTCCAATATGATGTTTGCCTTTTATTTCTATTTATAGAGTTTTTTTGTTGTTTTAATCAGATGGTTAGTTTTTATGTCATCCTGTCAGTTAGTATCTTTCTTCATGGGGTTTGCTTTTGTGGTTCTGCTGCCAAACTGAAACTTTCTCCAGCCAATCTTCACTTTCCTGACCTCTTTGTTTTAGTTCATGCTGTTCCTCCCTTCCTGGAGGGCCTTCCCTACCAGTTTCCTACCATTGAGATCTCCTGCCTGTAGTTCAGAGTATCTCAAACTCCTCTTTCTCCATGAAGTTGCCTTGATTCTGTATCACCCGACATTTTCTCTTTATTAAATTCATTATGTTCTGCCTGGATTATGTTAATACCTTATTTGTGGTGTTTATCACATTTCATCTTGTAGTTATGTTTATGTAGACTGTAAACTTTCTGAGGGCTAGACCCATCTTCCATGTCTGCGACCCTAAGATTCTCTAATTCAATGCTTGTCATACAGTAGGGCCTCAATAAACATTTGCTGGATTGAATTAAATTGGATTTGGGTGGACCAAAGCATCCAGTCTATTTCAGGGAGTTGATTCGTGAGACTCTTAAACAAGACCAGACGTGGGTTACTCTTTGTTCCTCTACTGACTGGAATTCCCCGTGTTGTTTGAGATGTGTGTCCCAAAGAGAAACTTGTTGTTCTGAAGAATTGCACACTTGTATTTATGGTATTGTTGGCTTTTTGTATCTGCCACTGCCAACCTTGTGACATCTGGCACTTTTGGCAGAAGTCCTGGCCCTTGGGACCCTGTTATGAGCAAACACAGTGATTGAGAAGCAGACCAGCTGAGACTAATCCAGTCCAGGGCCCATGACAGCAACCTGGCCAGGTGAGTGGGGATTTTAGCCTTGTCTTATACAACACAGCACAAGCCAGGATTTCTTCCTAATCCCTGCCTTGCCTTCTTATTGGGGGATTGTGAACTGCACCTAAAACATAAGGGGTGGCCCAGTGTGGTGGCTCACACCAGCACTTTGGGAGGCTGAGGCAGGAGGATTGCTTGAGGCCAGGAGTTTGAGAGCAGCCTGAGTGATAGAGGGAGACCCCATCTCTACAAAAAATAAGAAATGTAGCCAGGTATGGTGCTGTGTACCTGTAGTCCCAGCTGCTGGGAGGCTGAGGCAGGAAGATTGCTTGAGCCCAGGAGTTGGAAGCTGCAGTGAGCTATGATTGCACCCATCACTGCACGCCAGCCTGGGCAACGAGAGAGACTGTATCAACAAAACAAAACATAAGAGGAAATAATAAACATGATCTGGTGCTCCACTCCATTAATCATCAGGAAAATGCAAATTAGAGCCACAAGGCACTATCAGAGTGCCTAAAATGGGAAAAGACAAAGAATATCAGGTGTTGATAAAATACTCTGCTGGCAGGAGTATAAACATATCAAATAACAGTTTTGTGGCTGTATTAGTCCATTCTCACATTGCTAATAAAGACATACCCGAGACTGGGTAATTTATGAAGGAAAGAGGCTTAATTGACTCACAGTTCAGCATGGCTGGAGAGGCCTCAGGAAACTTACAATCATGGCAGAAGGGGGAGCAAACATGTCCTTCACATGGCGGCAGGAAGAAGAATGAGTGCTTAGTGAAGGGGAAGCCCCTTAAAAAACCATCAGATCTCGTGAGAACTAACTCACTATCACAGGACCAGGATTGGGGAAACTGCCCCCATGATTCAATTATCTCTACCTGGTCCTTCCCATATCCCCATAACACATGGGGATTATGGGAACGACAATTCAAGATGAGATTTGAGTGTAGACACAGCCAAACCATATCAGCGGCATCTACTAAAGCTGACATGTGCCCATCTTATAACGCAGCAATTCCACTCTTGGGTTTATACCCATTGGTAATGTGTCCATATATTTACCAAGAGACATGTGTTAGGATGTTCATTGTAACACTCCTATAATGGCCCCAAACTGGACACTGTCCATGAATGCCCATCAACAATAGAATAGAAAAGTAGCTTGTGATATGTCATACAGTGGAATGCTATACAGGAATGAGTATGAATAGCCTATAACTACATGCAACAAGTAGTCAAAACTCAGAAACATAATGTTGACTAAAAGAAGCCAGATGCATACTCTACGATTCCATTTATGTCAAGTGCAAAGCCAGGCAAAGCTAATGTATGCTGTTGGCAGTCACGATATTGGCTACCCTGGCTGGATGGAGGGTAGTGACTGTGGAGGAGGTGGCAGGAGGTGGCTTCTGATGGTGAGTGTGGGGGGATAGTGTTCTGGTTCTTGGCCTGAGGCTGATTCACATGGATGTGTTCAGTTCGTGAAAATTCCATGAGCAGTATGCTTTGTGAGCAAAAAATTTTCTGACCAATTTGATATGTCAATAAAAAGCTAAAAAGTGATTGACAGGGTATATACTCAGAAGAATTGAAAGCACGGACTGGAACAGATATTTGTACCACCCATGTTCATAGCAGCATGATTCACAGGAGCCGAGAGGTAGAAACAACCTAAATGTCCATGGATTGATGAATGAATGAACTAAATGTGGTTTATACATGTGATATGGTTTGGCTGTGTCCCCACCCAAGTTTCATCTTGAATTGTAGTTCCCATAATCCCCATGTGTGGTGGGAGGGACCCAGTGGGAGGTAATTGAATCATGGGGGAGTTTGCCTCCGTGCTGTTCTCATGATAGTGAGTGAGTTCTCATGAGATCTGATGGTTTTATAAGGGGCTTTTCTCTCCCTTCAGTCTATACTTCTGCTTGCTGCCACCATGTGTTTGCTTCCCCTTCTGCCATGATTGTAAGTTTCCTGAAGCCTCGCCAGCCATGGTGAACTGTGAGTCAATTAAGCGTCTTTCCTTTATAAATTACCCAGTTTCGGGTATGTCTTTATTAGCAGCATGAGAATGGACTAATACAACATACAATGGGATATTACTCAGCCTTAAAATGGTAGGAAATTCTCACACATGCTACAACTTGGATAAACCTTGAAGCTGTTATGCTTGGTGAAAAAAGCTAGACACAAAAGAACAAGTACTAGGCTGGGTGCTGTGGCTCAAGCCTGTAATCCCAGCACTTTGGGAGGTCGAGGTGGGTGGATCACCTGAGGTCAGGAGTTCAAGACCAGCCTGACCAACTTGGCGAAACTCCATCTCTACTAAAAAATACAAAAAAATTAGCCAGGTGTGATGGTGGATGCCTGTAGTCCCAGAGACTCGGGAGGCTGAGGCACGAGAATCACTTGAACCCAGGAGTCAGAGGTTGCAGTGAGCTAAGATGGTGCCACTGTACTCCAGCCTGGGCAACAGAGAGAGACTCCATCTCAAAAAAAAAAAAAAAAAAAAAAAGACAAGTACCGTATGATTCCACTTATAGGACGCACCTAGAGTAGTCCAGTTCATACAGACAGAAAGCAGAATGGTGGTTGCCCGAGGTTAGGGGAGTGGCAATGGGGAGTTAGTGTTTAATGGGTACAGAGTTTCAATTTGGGAAGATGAAAAAGTTCTGGAGATGGAGGTGGTGATGATTGTGCAACAATGTGAATGTACTTAATGCCATAGAACTGTATACTTAAAAATGGTTAAGGTGGTAAATTTCTTGTGCATTTTACCATAGTACAAAGATAGGTGATTGCAATAGATGATTGCAGATAATAACACAACATACATACAGACAAAGACACACGAGCAGAAGCAATGGGCCGTACAAAGCTTCCTGTGCTTCGGGGCCTGGGAAGGAGCCCGGCAGGGGAGCTGTGAGGGCAGAGCAGAGGGGGTCTGGAAAACTGGGAAAGGACCCAGCGTGACCTTGGAGGTAGCAATAGGGTCAGCCCTGCTGGGCACAAGGCTGACCTGCAGGCCCGACACATTTGAGGGTGCTCGGGCCAGCTGGCATGAAGCCGCTCTCTCTTGCTGGCACGTCAAAGCTGAATGTCCAACACCATGACACCCTGGTCTGGCCTTTTTTTGAACTTGCACAGCTTTCCCGTCAGGTCCTGGAGACAGGGAGACTTTAGGCGGGGCGATTTGGCCCACGGAAGGGAAGGATTTCCCACGTGGGCTTTATTCTAGGGAGTGCGAGGTTGGCCACAGTCCTGACCTGACAGCCAGGGACCTGCTGCTCACAGGACATTTCAGAGTCAGAGCCAGATTCCTCAACACTTACGAGGTGTTCCTGTACCAGGCCGAGGCCCCTGTGATGGTGAGTGCCTCTGAGTGGGGCAGGGGTGGGGTGACCCATGGCTGGGTCTCACCGTGGGAGCAGGCTGCTGGCCATGTGGGGCCCGTGAGAGACCCGGCAGTCCAAGGACAGGTGTTTTGTTTTGAGCGTCCATTTCAGAATGAAAAGACGTGGTGTTAGCCCCTTTACCAGCAGGGACATTCCCAAAGAATGCTGCCCTCTGACACCTGGCCTTTAGGAAGAGCCCCCAGGAAGACACCACACCTGGGCCGGATTTCCAGGGCCAGCCCCCTTGGGTCAGCTTGGTCTGCTCCATCTGCCCAGTCCTAGGAAATCCAGCTTTTCTTCCCTTTGCATTGCCCCACCCCAGGCTTATTCATTAGGTGTCCTGTCACCTCTCCGGGCCTTTTCTGAAGGTATCTGGAGCCTGGTGTGTGTGTGTGAATGGTGGCCTTAAAAGGCTTAGGAACATTTGGGGGCTGAGAAAAGAATGCTCCCAGCTGGCAGGTGGATGTAGGAGGCATTAATCCAGAATCATTTTTCCTGTGGAGACGGCTTTGTTATAAATCTGTCAAAACGTGGGCGTTCTTCAGTGTTCATGATATTATCCCTGGCTCCTGTGGGGACAGGGGTGGGAGTAAGGGCGCCTAGCTGAGAAACAGGATTTTCTCCTAAAAGATGTTTGGTTCCTTGAGATCTGTTCTGTCTCTCTCTCTTTCTCTCTCTCTCTCTCTCTCTGTCTCTGTCTCTCTGTCTCTCTCTGTTTCTCTCCTCCTTGACCTCACGCAGTTGGTAGAGTACAGCCAATTTGTCACTGGTTCTTTAGAACTGTGGGAATCCTCCCCCTCCCCCAAGTCCCCCAAATGTGCAGGTGAGCTGGATAAGTAGGCAGCCTAAAGACAGAGGGAGGTGGGTTGAAGGGAAGGAAGAGGAAATGAATGGTGAGCAGACACACCCTGGTATTCCGATTTAAAAAAAAAAAGAAATGCTAGTTGGGTGGGGATGGGGAGTGGGGAAACCAAGAGACCATCTGGACCAGCTACTCCCAAAGCATGGCCCCCCAACCAGCAGCGTCAACAATATCGCCTGGGAACTTATTAGTGATGCAAACTCCTGGGCCCCATCCCAGACCTGCTGAATCAGAATCTGCACATCAAAGTTGGAGAAGCGCTAAATAAACCACACTTCCTGGTCCAGAGATGGGAAGTGACTTGTCTGTGATCACACAGGTGGTTAATTGCAGAGAAGGACTTCCAGCCCACTGCCTCACCTGCCTTGCGGGTGAGATGGAGCAGTCGTACCTGACTCTTGGCACTCAGGGTTTGTGCCTTGGCAAATCTGGTTGTGTTTTGTATCTTGGGGGCAGAATTTTTGTGTGAGTTATTATCAACCAAAGATGGTTGAAGTGTGAAGCTGTAGGCCTGCCTCGGAGTTAGCACACGGAACGGAATATCCTACATGTAGTTTTGGTTCTGACCACTGATTTGCCATCTGGCAAAATGGCATTTCCTTCCTTCCTTCCTCCCTTCCTTCCTTCCTTCCTTCCTTCCTTCCTTCCTTCCTTCCTTCCTTCCTTCCTTCCTTCCTTTCGACAGAGTCTCGCTCTGTCACCCAGGCTGGAATGCAGTGGTGCACGCTCGGCTCACTGCAACCTCCGCTTCCTGGGTTCAAGCAATTCTCCTGCCTCAGCCTCCCAAGTAGCTGGGAGTACAGGTGCCCACCACCATGCCCGGCTAATTTTTGTATTTTTAGTAGAGACGGGGGTTTCACCATGTTGGCCAGGCTGGTCTCGAACTCCTGACCTCAGGTGATCCACCCGCCTTGGCCTCCCAAAGTGCTGGGATTACAGGTATTAGCCACCACACTGGGCCCCAAAATGGCATTTCAGAACCTTTTGTTGTATCTTCGCCGTCACCATCATCATCATCATCATCACAGCACAGATCCTTTATTTTGCACTTACTGGGATCCATACCCCGTGCTAAACACTTAGGTTATTTCCTTTGTCACACCAACCACATACTGATCGCATTTAAAGCTGAGGAAGCTGAGCAGCAGAAAGATAATGTACTCGTGGTCCCTCATCTAGATAAAAGAAGGGGTGGAATTTGGGTCAAAGCCCCATGTGACCCCAGCAGCACACTTATTTACACTTGGGGTATTAGGTAAAACTGTAGTACATCTTGTATTTGTGACACTCTCCAACTCTATGATTCTGAGGCAGAAGTTATCCTTTAAGCGCCAAATTTGTTTAGCTATTATTACCATATGTGAAACTGTTTGGAGACATTTTGTAATCCCAACACTAATGTCTGTACCAATTTAATTTCCATATGCATTTTGTGTTTTAACTGTATTTTAATTAAAGACTGAAATGGAAATTCTGTGCACCTCAGTCAGTTGAGAGAAAAGAATCTTAGATGCTCAGATAAAATGTGATTTATGCTGTTGCAAAAAATGTGAAAGACATGTGGGCACTTACTCCCCGGTTATGACTGTTTCCAGATTATACATTGTTAGAAAGAAAAAAAGTTTGGGGGTGCGGGAGGAACGCTGTGTGAACGTGGAACCACTGACTTAGACCCCTGGCTCATTCAGCTGGAAATGGGATGTGGAAGCCCAGGTTGTGGCTGACTTCTTTGAACTTCTCCACAGGCTGGGGACATTCTGGTAATTGTTTTATTGTATTTGTAGCCTACAGTGGGTGGTGGTCGGCAAACCATGGTCCATGGGCAGAATCTGGCTGGCCACCTACTTTTGTAAATAAAGTTTTATTGGCACACAGCCACACCCATTTGTTTAAGTACTGTTATAGCTGCTTTCGCACTGCAATGTCGGTGTTAAGTCACTGTGACAAAAACTGCATGGGCCGAAAAGCCCAAAATATTTACTATCTGGTCCTTTGCAGAAAAGAGTTTGCCAAACCCTGGCCTGATACCTTTTTGGACAACATTTCCTAAGTTTTCTTTCTGCTGTTTGTCATAAATGCTTGAAACCCATCTATTCACTGGCTCCCTCATTCATCAAACATAGTTTGATCACAGTGGTAAGAAATCTTGCTTAGCTCAGGGGCTGTGGGCTCATGACAAAAAAGAATGTAATCAAAGATTATAGGCTTGGCACAAAGAAACATTCAGTGAACTTGTGTAAGTTAGGGTTCTACAAATAACTGAATCCACTAATTCAAGGAGGAAGGGATTCATGCGAATTGGGATAACTCTCAGAATTGTTGGGAAGGCTGAAGAAAAGACTCTGGGCTGAGCTTTCAGGAACAAACTCCCCAACCTGCTCCCCAGACAGATCACCAAGGCTGCTACAATCAGGAAGTTACAGAAGCAGGCGGTGGGGATGTTATCATGCAGCCAGCCACAGAACCATAGCTCTGGCACAATCCACCCCAGGAAGGGGTGCCTCGTACCCTGGCCCTCTCCCTACTGCTTCACATCAAAGTCTAATCAGCAGAGCCGGAGTCACACGCAGAGGCTACTGTGAGGAAGTCTGGGGAGGGTTTTCGACTTTCTGGCCTTTGGATGCTGATCAAATAATCCACAGACACCCCATGGTACAGGTCATTGTATCCTGAAAGATAGAGTGTTCAACTCATTTATAGTTTGTATTAAAATTTGAGAACTTAAAACATTATTCAGTAGACATAGCAAGTGAGACTGGTCCAGAATGCCCAGGAAAGCAGATGTGGGGTGGTATAGAAGGCATCCTCAGGTCCATCTCCAAATCCTGCCCACTCATCCTTCAAGGCTCTGGCGCCACCTCCTTCAGGAAGGTGTCCCAAGGCTGGCTGGTGGTCCTTTCTGTCCTCAGCATAGTTAGAACACTTTGTCTTATCTGCCCACTCTCTAGGAAGTTACAGTATTCTCCTTCACAGGATAGTTATATCTTTCTCTTCAATGTTTTTCTTTTTCTTTTTCTTTCTTTTCTTTTCTTTCTTTTTTTGAGACAGAGTCTCCCTCTGTTGCCTAGGCTGGAGTGCAGTGGTGTGATCTCGGCTCACTGCAACCTCTGCCTCCTGGGTTCAAGCGATTCTCCTGCCTCAGCCTACCGAGTAGCTGGGACTACAGCTGTGCACCACCACCCCCGGCTAATTTTTGTATTTTTAGTAGAGACGGGGTTTCACCATGTTGATCAGGCTGGTCTCGAACTCCTGACCTCATGATCCTCCCAACTTGGCCTCCCAAAGTGCAAGGATTACAGGCGTGAGGCACAGTGCCTGGCCTGAAGTGTTTTTCTTTTTGACCTTTTTTTAAAATAATAAGAGAACATTGCCAAGTTTGAAATACTTCTCATTTTCCTTTTTAGTTCCATTCAATTTCTTTCTTCCCAGAAACAAATAGTATAGTCAGTTTATCTTTCTCTGTTTTTCACTTTAATTACATGTATGCATCTTTGCACAATACAGAGTGTTGTCTGTGAGTTACTTTATCTAAGTGATATTTTAGTGGATGTTCCAGTCCCTGACTTACTGTGCTATTAGATAGATCCATGTTACTACATAGAATTCCGTTTCATTCATTATAAGCAGTATATGGTTGCCATGCCATTGTATAAACAAGCTACAATGTATCCATTTTCTATCAATGGCCAGTCAGCTTTTCCCCAGTTTTTTCCTATTATAAACATTGTTGCAATAAGCAGCATTGTCCATATCTCCTGGGGTTATGAATGAGATTTCTCAAGGGTAGATACCAAGAGGCATAAATTGGTCATTTCCAGCTTTACTAGATATTGTCAAATTGCTTTCCGAGGTGATTGCAGCAATTCCCACCAGCTCTATGTGGAAATTTTCATCGGCCTATATTCTGGCTAACACTTGGTATTGTCAGACTTGTGTATTTTTGCCATTCCGATGGTGTGTGGTTTAAATTTGCATTTGCATTGTTGATTTAATTTGCATATGTCTGATTATTGTGAGGTTAAGCATCTTTTCATATGTTTATTGGCTATTTAGGTTTCCTTTGCTGTGACATGCATATTCATAGCTAGTGTGTGTCTTTTCTCTTGGGTTGTCTTTTTCTTATTTATTTGTTGGAGTTCTTTGTATATTCTGGATACAAGTCCTTTGTTGTACATGGTGCCATTATTTTCTCCCAGTCTGTTCCTGTCCTTTTCCCCTGCTGTCCTTTTGTATCCTCTGACCTGATTTTTGCTTCATCAAATGCTTAAACGAGTGCAGAATGATGCTTCCCCACCAGGTGCAACCTGACTCAAAACCCAGGGTGTGTATCCGTGAGAAAACTTGACGACATCCCTTGAGGTGCTGCCTGGTGAGGTGGGGTGAGCAGAATTTCATCTCCTTCCCCTACCTCCTGCCTCTTTTTTTTTTCTTTTTGAGACAGAGTCTCACTCTGTCGTCTAGGCTGGAGTGCAGTGATGCGATCTTGGCTCACTGCAACCTCTGCCTCCCAGGTTTAAACAATTCTCCTGCCTCAGCCTCCTGAGTAGCTGGGATTACAGGCACCTGCCACCATGCCTGGCTACTTTTTGTGTTTTTAGTAGAAACAGGGTTTCACCATGTTGGCCAGGCTGGTCTTGAGCTCCTGATCTCAGGTGATCCACCTGCCTTCTTGGCCTCCCAAAGTGCTGGGATTACAGGCCTGAGCCACCGCACCCAGCCCCTCCTGCCTCTTTTCTATCTAGGTGTGCTAGCTTCCTAGGGCCGTTCTAACGAGTTACCACAAACTGGGTGGCTTAATAATGCAGAAAGGTGTTTTCTCCTATTTCAGGAGGCCAGAAGTCCACAGTCAGGGTCTCAGCAGAGCTGGTTTGCTCTGGAGGCCCTGAGGGAGAATCTGCTACATGCCTGTCTCCCAGTTTCTGGTGGCTGCTGGCAACCCGTAGCATTCTTTACTTGTAGCCGCATCATTCCGGCCTCTGCCTCTCTGCCTCTGTCTTACACGATCTTCTCCTCTGCATGTGTCTTTCCCTTTTCTGCCACCCATTATTGGGTTTAGGGACCACCTTAAATTCAGGATCTTTTTTTTTTTTTTTTTTTTTGAGATGGAGTCTTACTCTGTTGCTCAGGCAGGAGTGCTGTGGCGCGATCTCGGCTTACTGCAACCTCCAACTCCCTGGTTCAAGTGATTCTCCTGCTTCAGCCTCCCGAGTAGCTGGGAGGATTACCGGCACACGCCACCACGCCTGGCTAATTTTTGTATTTTTAGTAGAGATGGGGTTTCACCGTGTTGGCCAGGATGGTCTCGATCTCCTGATCTCGTGATCCGCCTGCCTCGGCCTCCCAAAGTGCTGGGATTACAGGCGTGAGCCACTGCGCCCTGCCCAGCATGATCTTTTATCAAGATCCTTGACTTAATTACATCTGCAAAGATCCTATGTCCAAATAAGGTCACGTTTACAGGCAGTTAGGTCATGGACATATCTTTTTGGGGGTCATTATTTGACCCACTAGACTAGGCAAATGCTATGAATTTCAGAGAATAGCTAGCCTAAAAGTGAAGTGTAGGTGTGTGTGGTGGTGGTGGTAGGAGAGGTGAAGGGGGTGTCAAGGAAGAAAAATGCATCTGGGAGAGGCAGGTTCTTCTGGGAGGCACAGTTCCCCCAGAGAGGAGAGGCAATGCAGCTGATTCTTAAACAACTTAGGGGGTTTAGAGGCACTGACTGCCCCTCTGCAATAAAAAATCTGGATATTTTTGACTCCCCCAAAACGTAACTACTAATAGCCTGTTGACAGGAAGGCTTACTGATAACATCGACAGTCAATTAACACATATTTTGCATGTTATATGTATTATATACTGTATTCTTACAATAAAGTAAACTAGAGAAAAGAAAATGTTATTGGGAAAATCGTAAAGAAAATATATTTACTATTCATTAAGTGGAAGTGGGTCATCATGAAGGTCTTCATCCTCATTGCCTTCATGTTGAATAGGCTGAGGGGGAGGAGGAAGAAGAGGGGTTGGTCTCACTGTCTCAGGGGTGGCAGAGGCACCTGTAAATGGACCCACACAATTCAAACCCATGTTGTTCAATGGTTAACTGAACATTTTAGTTGTCTATTGAACTAAAATTCAGTGGTCAACGGCCATTGTGGATTTTCACATTTTTCATCTATTTAGAGTCCCCAGAAAACAGATAACGGGTGTTCAAGGAAGATGCCTCTTGGGTGAACAGGTACAAGCCAGGCGAAACCTAGCTGTGCCCATTGATCTGCCCCACTGCTATGAAGCTGCGCCTGTGGCTGTATCCCCTGCAAGGGAGCCCCAGTGGGGCCAAGGACAGGACACTCTGTGAACAGCTGCTGTAGATCCTGCCTTTTTGAAGATAAGTAAAGAGAAACCAAGTACATTTCTACAATTATGGAATCCACAAATAATGAGGTTCAGCAATACTATTCCTTTCCTTCACCTATTCGTTACAATTTGTGTAACCCCAAAATAAATACTCAGGGCCCTTTCATGGTCATTCATGATGGGCACAGAGAGGTGAAAAATTTGAGTTACCTGGTGTGCATGTTCCCAGCGAGATTATTTCAGCTCTCATACTGTAAACAAGTGTCTTTTCGTTGTCTGCTCGGTGCCACGATTTTCACATTTTGATGCTTCTTTTTTGGTGATTTTGCTGTTTAAAATGCACCCCACCCCTCATGCCTGTAATCCCAGCACTTTGGGAGGCCGAGGCAGGCGGATCACGAGGTCAGGAGATCGAGACCATCCTGGCTAACATGGTGAAACCCCGTCTTTACTAAAAATACAAAAAATTAGCCGGGCGTGGTGGCAGGCGCCTGTAGTCCCAGCTACTCGGGAGGCTGAGGCAGGAGAATGGTGTGAACGCTGCGGGGTGGAGCCTGCAGTGAGCCGAGATCGCGCCACTGCACTCCAGCCTGGGTGACAGCGAGACTCCGTCTCAAAAAAAAAAAAAAAAAAATGCACCCCACCCCCTTCCACAGTACTAAAGTGCTGTCTAGCATCCCCAAGCTCAAGAAGACTGTGATTTGCTTTATGGAGAAAATGTGTTAGATACGATTCGTTCAGGTAAGAAGTTGTATTGCTTTTGGCTGTAAGTTCAGTGCTGGTGAATCAATGATACGTTTTGTATACAGAATTTTTTTTATTTTTATTTTTTTGAGACAGAGTCTCACTCTGTCGCCCAGGCTGGAGTGTAGTGGCACAATCTTGGTTCACTGCAACCTCTGCCTCTCAGGTTCAAGTGATTCTCCTGCCTCAGCCTCCCGAGTAGCTGGGATTACAGGTGCCCGCCACCACGCCTGGCTAATTTTTGTATTTTTAATAGAGATGGGGTTTCACTATCTTGGCCAGGCTGGTCTTGAACTCCTGACCTCGTGATCCACCCACCTCAGCCTCCCAAAATGCTGGGATTACAGGCATGAGCCACCGCACTGGGCCTGTATACGGTATTTTTAAAGCAGAAATACATATAAAAAAAGGGTACATACTGACCAGTTTGCGAAAATGTTGTGACTAAAGGCTCACAGGAACTTAACCCTGTATTTTCCCTGGGAGCAATGGTTCATTATTTGCTGACTATTCATGGCAGCTTGATAGAATGTGAATACCACAGCTAATGAGCATCAACTGTATCTGAAGGAGCCCGCTTCTGAAAATGATTATACAGCAAGCTCCGGGAGAACATGTCAGGAGATTGGCACCCTCTTATTGCAGGAAGACACTTTCTTTGTGCAATCCAAGCAGACTTTGCTCAGGAGAGGACAGTCCGAGACTAGAAGGCAGCAGAATGAGATGGAAATAGAGATGTCATATAGGGAGAGAGTATAGGAAAAAGCCAACTGCAGAATCAAAATCCATATGGTACAGAGTAAGAGGCAGATTTTGTTCAAGGATGTTCACTGCAATGTTGTTTATAACAGCAAAAAAAGATGTCCAACGATGGGAGATGAGCTAAATAAACTCTAATGTAGACATAAAATTAAATATATATGATTCAGGCCAGGCGCGGTGGCTCACGCCTGTAATCCCAGCATTTTGGGAGGCCGAGGTGGGCGGATCACTTGAGGTCAGGAGTTTGAGACCAGCCTGGCCAACATAGTGAAACCCATCTCTACTGAAAATACAAAAATTAGCCGGGCATGGTGGTGTGTGCCTGTAATCCCAGCTACTCGGGAGGCTGAGGCAGGAGAATTGCTTGAACCTGGGAGGCGGAGGTTGCAGTGAGCTGAGATCACGCCACTGCACTCTAGCCTGGGTGCCAAAAAAAAAGAAAAAAAAAAAAAATATATATATATATATATATGATTCAGCTATTCAGATATTGTGTATTATTTATTGACTTAAAAGGAGTAAGGGAAAAAAAAGGAAGATTCAAGTGTAAGTATGACGGGTCTGATACTTTTAAAAAATGTGCATATGCTTACTTAGAAAAAGCTTTGCATGATTCTATTAACATATTTAGGGTGTATAAGGTATATAAAAGTTACTTTTAATTACAAAATGCATCTATTTCTGTAGTGTTTGAATTTTTTGCAAAAAAATATATTGATGTTTTACTTGAGTTAAAAAAAAAAAAGATAAACATGGAGGCCGGGCACTGTGGCTCACACCTGTAATCCCACACTTTGGGAGGCCGAGGCAGGCAGATCTCCTGAGGTCAGGAGTTCGAGACCAGCCTGGCCAACATAGTGAAACCCTGTCTCTACTAAAAATACAAACATTAGCTGGGTGTGGTGGCGGGTGCCTGTAATCCCAGCTACTTGGGAGGCTAAGGCACGGAGAATCGCTTGAACCCGGGAAGAGGAGGTTGCAGCGAGCCGAGATTGTGCCGCTGCACTCCAGCCTAGGCAACAGAGCGAGACTGTGTCTCAAAAAAATAATAACCATAAATAAATAAATAAAAGTGGGATGAAAGATGTTACCAGTATAAACTGTTGGGCAGCACTTCTTCCTCTTTTCTCTCATAGCTCCTGGTTTCTACTGACCTGCAGAGTTTATGAAACTGCTGTTCCCATCTGTCTGTTCATGTCTGTCTTTGGATTGTGAACCACCCAAGGGCAGTCTGTATTTCTAGAACCTGACATGGTGGGAGGCTTCTGTGAGAGAAGATGCTACCTGCATTTTTCTTGGGTGGATGAGTGGTAGGCTTGGAAGATGGGGCAGGATGCTGGGGCGCCAGGCCGGGGGTGCAGTAGAAAATTCTGCTCTGTGCAAACTCCTGTTCGTCAGTTCTGTGACAGCTCCCCTCTCCTTCTGCCTCAGCTCCTTGAGAGAAAGGACTGTGTAAGTGGGTGAATGAAAAACTAATGAACTTGAGCTCATTCATTTGGGTGGGCCAGACAGCACCTTAATACCGATTCAGTAAGTTCAAGCCTTTGAGAGAGACTTTTGAGTTCAAGGATGTTCAACTCTTTGGGGTGAGCAAATAGGCAATGGAGGTGGTTTTGAGGTGTTCACCAAAGACCCACAATGCTGGCGTCAGCCTTGCATGTGTTCCCCAGGGTCTCCCGGGGGTCTCCTGCTCACCAGTTAAAGGCTTTCCTTCTCAGAGCTCATTGTCGGGAAGAGAAAGCCGGGCTCCTGGCTGGACCAGTGTCCTCATCCACGTGACGTTCCTGGAGCTGGACAGATCCCGGCTGAAATCTGGAGAGGGATTTGATAAATGCTCTAAACCCTCCCACTGTGTGCACTGGAGTTAATTTAAAAACCAGCTTCACAAACACACTCAGAGGCCTCAGAAGGAAAGCAGAGGGCAGGCAAGAGCCGAGGTCTGTGCCCTGACTCATCCTTCCCCCCCGGGGCGGGGACAAACGGCTCTGACATTTCCCGGGGCCGCAGCCCCCAGAGACAAACGAACGGATGGGCCGTGGCGGAGTCTCTGGAGGCGCCGGGGCAGCCTTGGATGGGGCTTGCTGGTCTTGGCCGGCCGTGCGCGGTGGAGGAGGGCTGGCGAGGCGGCAGCAGCCGTGTACTCGCCGTCTCCGAGGCCGTGGAGGAAGGGATTTCGTGTTTCTCCCTCTATGAACAGTCGGAGAATTTTCCTCCCATAAACAAAACAAACATGAGCCGAAGGGGCGGAGGCCCCAGGGGCAGGCTGGGTGGCCCTTTCTTTCAACCTCTCTGCATTTGTTTCTCCGGGGGCAGATTGTGGCAGCTTCTTAGAGCCCCAGAAAGCCGCCTGTGGGTGTCGTCATCTTGCTTGGTTAACCGAACACATTGCCTCTTGGTCCTAGCCAGGGCTCTGCTGTTCCTGGAGGAGCGGCTGTGGGCCAGCTAGACCCTTGTCCACAGAGGCGAGTGGCTCTGCAGAACATTCCACGGGGGTGGCAGAACAGGTGCCTCTTGGCATGGGCAGGCGGCATGGTGGGGTAGGCAGAGCCCCCGGGAGGGTCAGGAAGCAGCCACAGAGTTTTGAGCCACCCACCCACCCACCCACCAGCTTGCTGTGTGGCCTTCACCACGTCTTTCTCATCCCTGGGCCTTAGCCTCCCCATCTTTTGCTCCAGAAGTCGAGCTGGGTGATTTCTAGAGTCTCTACTCGCTGTTTGTTTTTGTGACCCGGGGAGGGGCAGCTGCGATGGTGGAGGGCACCCTTCTGAGGCCCCCTCCTCTCCCTGCCCTCTTTCTCTCCCCACATCTCTCTGATTTCCCCTTATTTCACTGACAAAGCTTAAAATCCCAGGGCTTTCTGTAGATAGTGGGGCTGCGGAAGACGGTGCCTGCCTCGGCTTGAAAACCAGGCCCAGAAAACACTGCCATCCATCACGTTCTCATTGTCACCTAGGAAGGCCCCAGAAGGTCAGCTTCCAATTGCCTCTCAGTACAGAGCGCGTTTGTGTTGCTTGGGGACTGACTGTCCTTTCACAGAACTTGTGGGAAAATACCTCTTCTCTTCTCCAGAAAAGGTGATGAGAAAGGTATTATTTAGAAGGTAGACAGGAAGGAGAAAGGTGGAGGCATATTCCACTCTATGAAAGGACGAGTATGGGATTGAAATATTTGTAAGCATGGGGCACATCCTATTAACAGTTGATGTCGGATATCTTGTCTGCTTTCAGGAAGGATTTGTGGCCGAGGTACAAGGGGTGGCTTTTGATATGAAAATGTGCATTGTGGCTCCCTGAATGAGGGGGGTGGGAGAGGGCTGGGATGGCCCCACTGGGCGGGGAGAGGAGCCTCTGGGAGCGACACCCGGGGAAGCTGTGAGGCGTGAAAGGGTGCTTTTAGGAAAGTCTGGATCAGACATGATGTTATAGGAAAAAATGCAGCGTCTAAGGAAACAGCGCGTGAATAGAGAGAAAGCCGAGAGACAGGGCAGGGAGGCAGAGAGGACATAAAGCAGATTGGCATTGGCAGCCAGGGGAAGGAGCTGCCTGGTGGCAGGGGCCACAGACTGGAGGGAGGATGGCAGAGGACACTCTGCTTCCCAGGGAAGGGCCCGGCCTGGGGCGGAAACTTGCAGAATGGCTGATGACACCAGTAGTTGGGCTTGCGCTCCTCAGAAGCATGAGGACAGGTGGTTCACAGTGTCACTGGCCCTGGGTCTGCACCTGGACCAAGTAAAGCATTACCTCAAGAAGCTTTCATGTGGGCCGGGTGCGGTGGCTCACGCAGTAGTTTGGGAGGCCGAGGAGGGTGGATCACAAGGTCAGGAGTTCGAGACCAGCCTGGTCAATATGGTGAAACCCCGTCTCTACTAAAAATACGAAAATTAGCCAGGTGTGGTGGTGCACACCTGTAGTCCCAGCTACTTGGGAGGCTGAGGCAGGAGAATCACTTGAACTCGGGAGGCGGAGGTTGCAGTGAGGTGAGATTGTGCCATTGCACTCCAGCCTGGGAGACAGGGCAAGACTCCATCTCAAAAAACAAACAAACAAACAAAAAAACCAAAAAAAAAAAAAAAACAAGCTTCCATGTGCACGGCGTGTCATCCCCTGCCTCCACCACCCAACTGGTGGGTGGAGGACAGATTCCACAGTAGGAAAAAGAGTCTCTGCCTGTTGGAAAGGGCTGAGAGGTACCATCTGCCACCTTTTTGTCCCCCTCATGTTGGAAGTGAAAAGGGACAGGTGCCCTATCTCAGGGCTGCAAGCAATTTCTAGAAACGCTCAAGAGCGTAGCTCATGGGGCCATGCCACGTGGCCTCAAATCCAGGCTCTCCCATTTTCCAGGTATGTGTGACCTTGGGCATGCTACTGACTCCCTCTGTGCCTCAGTTTCGTCACCTGTAAAAGGGGTATAATGTCAGTGTCTACCTCCAAGCAATGTGAGGATTAAGTGTGTGTGTTTTTAACAGCTTTATTGAGATATAATCCACATGCCTCATAATTCCCCCATTTAAAATATACAGTTCAGGCCGGGCGCGGTGGCTCACGCCTGTAATCCCAGCACTCTGTGAGGCCGAGGTGGGTGGATCAACTGAGGTCAGGAGTTCAAGACCAGCCTGGCCATGGTAAAACCCTGTCTCTACTAAAAATACAAAAAATTAACCGGGCGTGGTGGTGCGCACCTGTAGTCCCAGCTATCCGGGAGGCTGAGGCAGGAGAATCACTTGAACCCAGGAGTTTGCAGTGAGCTGAGATGGCGCCATTGCACTCCAGCCTGGACAACAAGGGCAAAACTCTGTCTAAAAAACAAAAACAGAAACAAAAACCGGTTCAGTGGTTTTCAGTATATTCAGAGTTGTACAACCATCACCATAATAGATTTTAGGACCCCAAAATAAAACCCATACCCATCAGCACTCAGTCCCCATTTCCTCCCACCCACCCCCTTTCCAGTGCTGAACAACCACCGCTCTACTTTCGGTCTGCCTGGATTTGCCTATTTTAGGCATTTCATAGAAATGAAATCATATAATATGTGACCTTTTATGTGTGGCTTCTTTCCCGTGACATAATACTCTCTAGGTCTATCCAGTCTCAAGGTTGTAGCATGTATCAGTACTTTATTCCTTTTCATTGCTGAGTAATATTCCATTGTAGAGATATATTGCATTTTGTGTATTCATTCACTGGATAAGGGACATTTTAGTTGTTTCCATTTCTTTGCCATTGAGAATAATACTTGCTATGAGTATTTGTGTGTGGACATGTGTTTTCATTTCTCTTGGGTATATGCCTAGAAGTGGAATAGCCAGGTCCTACATAACTTTGTTTAACTTTCTGAGGAACTGCTGGACTGTTTTTCAAAGTGGCTGTAACCATCTTATGTTCCCACCAGCAATGTATGCGGGTTCTGGTTTCTCCACATCCTTGCCAACACTTGTTATTATTTGTCTTTTTAAAAATGTATTATTTATTTATTTATTTATTTATTTTTCAGACAAAGCCTCACTCTTGTTCCTCAGGCTGGAGTGCAATGGTGCGATCTCGGCTCACTGCAACCTCTGCCTCCCGGGTTCAAGCAATTCTCCTGCCTCAGCCTCCTGAGTAGCTGGGATTACAGGCACACACCACCACTCCCAGCTAATTTTTGTATTTTAAGTAGAGACAGAGTTTCACCATGTTGGCCAGGCTGGTCTTGAACTCCTGACCTCAGGTGATCCACCTGCCTCGGCCTCCCAAAGTGCTGGGATTACAGGCGTGAGCCACCGTGCCTGGCTTATTTATTTATTTATTTATTTATTTATTTATTAGAAACAAGGTCTCTGTCACCCAGACTGGAGTGCAGTGGTGCAGTCATGGCTCACTGCAGCCTCAAACTCCTGGGCGTAAATGATCCTCCTGCTTCAGCCTCTCAAGTAGTTCAGACTATAAGCATGCTACACCACACCTGGCTAGGTTTTAAATTTTTTTGTAGAGACAGTCTCACTATATTGCCCAGGCTGGTCTCGAACTCCTGGCCTCAAGCAATCTTTCTGCTCTGGTCTCCTAAAGTATTGGGATTAAAGGCATGAGCCGCTGTGCCTGGCCTGGCCTTTTTTTATTTTAGCCGTCCTACTGAGTGTGATGTGGTGCTCATTGTGGTTTTGGTTTGCATTTCCCTGATGGCTAATGATGTTGAGCATCTTTTCACAGGCTTCCTGGCTATTTGTATACGTTCTTTTGAGATGTAACTATACAGATGTTTTGCCCAGTTTTAATTGACAAGTTAGTTCTTAGAAGTGCTTATCTGGCCGGGCGTGGTGGCTCACACCTGTAATCCCAGCACTTTGGGAGACCGAGGCGGGTGGATCACGAGGTCAGGAGTTCGAGACCATCCTAGCTAACATGGTGAAACCCCATCTCTATTAAAAATATTTTTAAAAAAATTAGCTGGGCATGGTGGCGGGCGCCTGTAGTCCCAGTTACTCAGGAGGCTAAGGCAGGAGAATGGCATGAACCCGGGAGGCAGAGCTTGCAGTGAGCCGAGATCATGCCACTGCACTCCAGCCTGGGTGACAGAGCGAGACTCCGTCTCAAAAAAAAAAAAAAAAAAGTGCCTGGAAGGAGTGCCTTGCCCATGGGAAATGCTGTGCAACTTACTATTAGGGAGAGTACCCAAGACTTGGCACATTGGGCTTCTCTCCCCCACGTTAAGGATTTTGGGGGCCCTGCATAAATGTCCAAGCGTGAGGGAACATGGTGACTTCACATTTTCTTTAGTTTTCTTCAAATAGTCCCCTACTTGGGGAGAGACTGCGATGGTTTCTCCCCCACACAGGTCATATTCCCACCTGACCCCTTCTGATTTGATTTCCCCCAAGTCCCTATGGTGGGGTGCACCTGCTGCCTACATCTGGCTGCCTTTGGTGATGACTTCAGTGCTGCTTAGTATCTGGATTCTGTTCATCTGCAAGCGCCCCCAAGAGGCTGCTGGTGGTAGTGTGGGTTGATGTGGGCAGAGTTGGTGGGGGTCCCAGGGAGTCCCCCCAGCCCCTTCCCAGCGTCATAGCGACATGGTCTGGGGCTTACATTACCCCCATGTTGTTTTTGTACAGCAGGAAGCTGCTTGCTACCCAGGTGGCCATTCGACTTCATATTAAGGTCTCCTTTCCATTTTCTTTTTGCTTAAAAATACTCAGGTTTTCACAAGAGTCACTTCAGTTCTTGGTGATTGAACTCAGCTCTGATTTGACCTCAGCATTTCAGGTACATTTTTGGCTCTTCTGGAGACAGAAAACCATCAGGGACCGCAAGGATTAAGCCTCAGGGTGAACATTATCCCAAGTGGTGGGACCAGGATGGAGGGCTTCCCCTGTCTCAATACAGGACTGTGTGGTGCGAGGAAAAAGAAGGAAGCGGATGGCCCTGTCGGGGGGAGAGCTGGATGTCATCATTAAAAATCCCTGCAGCCGCTTGTTCATGAAACCCCTCACTGGGGATGAAACTCCCATTTCCTCCCAAAGGATAGTTTTCTCCTTCTTTTCCTAGAGGCCGTGTACATTCAGGTTCAAGTTCCTTGTGACTTTCACTTCTTTTCCCCATGAACCAGCACGTCCCCGGCCGCTCCCTCTCCTTGATGTGCGGGGGTAGCTGATTTTTCCTTCCACAGTATAATATCTGGCAATTGCACCTCATCCTATTTTTGCTCTCCTCCCCCATCTTCTCTGTTCATCCGTGCCTGCCCAATGCGTGCTTCCCCGGTGATTTTTCCCACTCACCCCCGGTGCTCCTTTTCTCTCTGTGACCTCTTGGCAGTTCTGTGCATACGTAGGATTATTGTTATTCTGGCACTGTGATCACTGGCGCTCACTCACATGCTCTCTGCAGAGGCCCCGCTGCCTCTCCCCACATTTTTTGTGCCTGTGAGCCATGCAGCCATCCGTACCCTACTCCATAGGAATGTGGCCTGGAGGGTACCCCACCGGGTCAGCTGGTCAGCTGCACTAAGGCCCCAGCCCAGGGGTGGCAGCTCTGGTCAGTAACATGTTTGTCCCTGAGTGGAGTTGAACTGACTCCTTGGATGCCACAGCTGCCCTCCCACTTACAAAAAAGAGCCTCCCCACACACGTCCTTTTCTTCCCCAGGCAATCCCACACCTACTTCCTCAAATCAGTCCTCCTGTCACCTTTTCAGACCTCTTGTTATCTCAGCCACCTCCCCCAATACCCTCCAATCTGCCAGTGCCCTTCTTGATACAGGAGAGCTGGAATATGATCTGGTCAGTGCAGAGGGGATATTATCTTTCTCTGTACGCATTTGGGGTTCTAGGGAGTTCGTTTCTGAGTTACATTTTTTTTTTTTTTTTTGAGACGGAGTCTCGTTCTGTCGCCCAGGCTGGAGTGCAGTGGCGCAATCTCGGCTCACTGCAAGCTCCGCTTCCCGGGTTCACGCCATTCTCCTGCCTCAGCCTCCCAAGTAGCTGGGACTACAGGTGCCCGCCACCACACCCAGCTAATTTTTTGTATGTTTAAAGACGGGGTTTCACCGTGTTAGCCAGGATGGTCTCGATCTCCTGACCTCATGATCCGCCCGCCTCGGCCTCCCAAAGTGCTGGGATTACAGGCGTGAGCCACCACACCCAGCCCTCTGAGTTACATTTTTTGAAAGCAGCAACACTCCCCTAAACTCTAGAATCCTCTACAGTTTGGTTCATAACTAGCAAATGGTGACTTGAATGAGAGGCTTTGGGATTGGGGCAATGTCTTTATTTCCCAGTGCTCCTCTTAACCAGATTAAAGGGGTGCTGTGAAGTTTGACCTAGTGGAGGGGTGGGTCTCGGGAAGCATTAAACACCAAGCAGTGGTTGGGTTGTTAGGCATCGCCCAGCCCCTCATCTTGTGCTTTTGTTTCTGCTTAAACTATGTTCTTATTGTATTTTTCATGTGGCAAAGGCAATATCTATTTGGTGTAGAAAAATTATAAGATATAGATTAGGACAAAAAGAAGAAAACGCAAGTAACAGTTTATCCCACCAGCCAGAGTGACGATGTTAATACCCTGTGGTGTGTCTGTTGCCTGGTGGACCTTTTTCTATTTGCGTATGTTTCCACTATATGCAGTCATACTTCTTTTTACTTAATACATTGTTTCCATCTTTCCACTTTATTAAATAGTCGGCTTTGTAGTTTTGCATGGTTGCATAGTATTTGTATTGCATTTTGTGGGTGTACCATGACTCCGTTAATCAGGCATTTAAATTTGGACATTTTGCTGTTTTTCAGGTTTTTTCCACTCTAAGCTTTGTTGGGCTGAGTGCTCTTTTAAGTTGATCTTTGTGCCATTCTCAGTGTCCCCTTCAGATAAATTCCTAGATGTGCAACTGTACATCTTCAAGGAATAAGCACATGTTTAAGACTTTTGACGCGTTTGTATCTTGCTCTCCCCCAAGTCATACCAGTTTATAGAGTGTGAATTTTTTTTCTTTGTTTCCTCAGGTATATTGCATATTAATTACTCTAAAAAAACCTGTTGGCCAACTTGGAAGACAAAAAGTGATATTTGATTGTTTTCATTGATTTGTCTTTGATAATTAACAAGACAGGTTGAACATTTTTCACAAGTTTATATTTTGTGAATCACCTATGGGGGCGTTAATAAGTTTTCCAAAAAGATGAACTCCTTACATATGAAAGATAGTAACTTTCCGTCCATCTTTTGTCCTACAGGTATTTCTCCCAGGTTGTAATTGACTTTTTAAAATGTATGGTGCTTTTTGACATATAAAAGTTAAAGTTGCCGTCTATTAGATACGTATTTTACAGTTTTTACTTTCAGTATCATACTTCAGAAAGGCCTTCTTGATCCTAAGATTCCATAAATGTTCACTTACATTTTCTTCCAGTAATCTTTACGGTTTCACTTTTTACATGTACATATCTCAGTACATGCTGTGAAAGTCAAGTGTAACTATTGTTCTTCTCGGATGGTTAGCCAGTTGCTGCAGCACCACTTACTACCCAGTGTGTCATTTTCTCTCCATTTCCCACCCCCCATTTTGGGGGTTCTCATTGTGGACTTTCTGTTTGATTAAGTTTTCTCTTGGTTCCTATCACAGTTCTGATTCTTGTAGTCTCATGATACATTTTAGGATGTCTGGAGGCTTTGTAAGTGGTAAAACACCATGAAAAATGTGAAGGGTTATTCATGTTGTTGTACCAGATCTTTGAAAACACCGGGAGCGCTTACTGTCCTCGCTGGTGAGAGTAAGTCACCTGTTTTTTTTAGAGTTTTTCTTCAGGGATCCTGAAGTGATGCTGTCTTCTGAACCAGCAAATGCTCAGGTCTTCTTAGCAACCTTTGGCCTGTCCCCTGACCCCAACCATCACGCAGTGCCTGCCACCTAGGAAAGGCTGGGTCTGCGTCACCAGGTCCCTCTGTTCCATGACCACATCTCATAATCACATCCATTTTTCTTAAAAATCAGCAGCCTCACTCTTCTGACTCATGTTCTCTGACTTCTAGACGCTTTTCTTCCATAATTGGGTGTGCCGGGCACAATCCTTGTTTTTTCCTTCCAGAGGTGGGGAATTCAGGGTGGAAATGTGGCAGAGGACGTGGGGCTTCCTCGCTCTGTCCCTGGGCTGTTGCCATGACAGTCGGTTGGACAGACATGTCGTGGTGTGCCCTCCTCCCTCCGGCTTCTCTCCGGATTCCACTTCCTGAACTCTGAGCAGGCCTGTGGGTGGGAAGCCGGCTGGGTGGTCTGCCCAGACTTCCAAGAGATGCTTGGCCACACCTTGTGCAGGGCCTAATATGGGCTTGGGCCACACTCAGACCACACTCAGCTGTGCTTTCCTTTCCGACAGTGATGACGATGATGACAGTGACGAGGATGGGGGGCTCTGATGGTGAACTGGGAATCCTGCATAGGCCTCCTAGTGAGAAGTCACAGCTTAATTTACCGAGCACCTACCTACCTCATGCCATGTCATAGAGGATGACAGATGCTGTGGGGAGGTAAAAGGAACTCGTTTTGCAGTGCTTGTCCTTGCCTGGTCAGCCACGGCGGCAGAGTCAAGGGATTGAGCTCCCAAAACCCTGGGACATGACGGCATCGGTTTACACCCCGATCTGCCTCTGCTATGACACTTGGATGGATTGCTTAGCTTCTGTGTGCCTCAGTTTCCTCATCTGTAATATGAGGATAATGCTTCATAGAGTTGATGTGAGGATTAAATGAGTCGGCATGTGTGTGCATTTTACAGAGCCTGGCACATGCTACATGTTAGCAGTCACTCTTTGTTGTTGTTAGTGTGTATGTGTGTTTCTTTTGTATACTTCTAGCACGCGGGGAGCTCCATGAGGGCCTTTTATCCACCTTTTATTTTTTTAAGACAGAGTCTCACTCTGTCACCCAGGCTGGAGTGCAGTGGCACAATCATGGCTCACTGCAGCCTCAACCAGGTGGGCTCAAGCAGTCCTCCCACCCCAGTCTCCTGAGTAGCTGGGACTACAGATGCATGCCACCATGTTTGGCTAATTTTTTTTTTTTTTTGAGACGTAGTTTCACTCTTGTCGCCCAGGCAGGAGTGCAGTGGCACAATCTAGGCTGACCGTAACCTCCGCCTCCCGGGTTCAAGCAACTCTCCTGCCTCAGCCTCCCAGATAGGTGGGATTACAGGTGCTTGCCACCATGCCCAGGTAATTTTTTGTATTTTCAGTAGAGATGGGGTTTCACCATGTTGGGCAGGCTGGTCTTGAACTCCTGACCTCAGATGATCCGTCTTCCTAGGCCTCCCAAAGTGCTGGGATTACAGGTGTGAGCCACTGCACCTGGCTGATTGGCTAATTTTTAAAAATCTTTTTGTAGAGATGGGATCTCACCATGTTGCCCAGTCTGGAACCTATTTGAGGGTTATTTATTTATTTATTTAAGAGAGGAGGTCTCACTCTGTCACCCAGGCTGTAGTGCAGTGGTGCAATCATAGCTCACTGCAGCTTCAAACTCCTGGGCTGAAGCAATCCCTCCACCTCAGCCTCCCAAAGTGCTGAGATTACAGGCGTGAGCCACCATGCCCGGCTCTTTCATCTTTTTTTATATTCATGATCACGTGACCTTCTGCAGAGTGGATGCTCCATAAATGTGTATTAACTGATGATACTGATACGGGTTATTACCATCACTTACTGTGCTGGGCTCTTTATCACATTATCTGATTTAATCTTCGCAGTCTTTACATTAAATGTTTTGTCTGTTTTACAGATGAGAAACCTGAAGCTGAGGGAGCCTGAGGGACTTGTCAAAGGTTGTCTAGCTGACAAGGGGCAGGGCCAGGCATCGTCCCCAGCCAGCCTGATTGCAGAAGCAGAGTCAGGATGGCTGAATGAACGACGCATGGGGTGGAGACAAGAGAAATCCTTAAGAAAGAATTAGAGAACAACATAGCACTTAATGAATTGAATAGGATCATGAGCAGTGGGTGACCCAGACCTACCTCATTATCATTTGGTTTGCTAAGGAAATAAAAAGAGAGATAGGGCTGGGCGTGATGGCTCACGCCTGTAATCCCAGCACTTTGGGAGGCCAAGGCGGGTAGATCACCTGAGGTCAGGAGTTCGAGACCAGCCTGACCAACATAAAGAAACCCTGTCTCTACAAAAAATACAAAAAATTAGCCGGGCGTGGTGGCGCATGCCTGTAATCCCAGCTACTCGGGAGGCTGAGGCAGGAGAATCACTTGAACCTGGGAGGCGGAGGTTGCGGTGAGCCGAGATCGTGCCATTGCACTCCCAGCCTGGGTGACAAGAGCGAAACTCCATCTCAAGAAAAAAGAGAGAGAGAGAGAGAGATAAAGGGTATGGTAAGTTCTGGGCACATCAAAGGAGTTTGAATGCTGCATTTGGTCTCCTCAGGCTGATGCTCCTGTCTGGCCCCTTCTGCTCTGGCTCAGTGTGGCTGTTGGGGAAGGTTCTGGAAAAATTAGGGCTTCGCATTCAGCTCTGATGATGGGTAGGAGGGCTGTGGCTAAAGAGGAACAGGTGGGAATCAGCGGAGTCAAGCACAGATAGAGGGAACAAACCAGGTATACTGGGAGTCGTGGCCTTGAGGGCACCCCACTGTGGAAAGTTGCAGATATCAGCTCGAGGGGGCTGTATTTGGCTGACTTGGCAATGGGGAACCAGGATGGTGTTTGAATGAAGGACTCATGGGCTCATTTTCACTTCGAGGGGAGAAGGGAGGCTGGTAGCAGGGTACCACGTGTCTCATGCATATCCTGGAGAAGGCCTGAGATAGGGCAGCCGTGCATGGATCAGGGAGGCGGAGGGAGGCCCTAGGGACATGGGATCAGAGCAGTGGGCAGGAGTGAGATTGTGGTAGGGCCGGGGGGGGGCAGGACAGGGAGTTAGGATTTTATTCCAGGTGTAAAGGGAAGCTAAGGGGGTGTGTGTTGAGCTGGGTGGTGGCATGAACCTGCTATGTTTTAATAAGATTGTCCCGGTTGCTCTGCAGGAGGCAGGGGTAGAAGCTGGGAACAGCCAGGAGGCCTTGGAAGTTTTCAGGTGGGAGATGACGGGGGCTTGGCTGGAGGAGAGGTGGTGGTGAGAAGTGGCCCCCTGTGGGATCCGTGTGGAAGGCAGTGTCACCAGAACTAGGTGGGTTGTTTGTGGGAGCGAAAAGAAGGAAAGCAATGACCCGTGAGTCCTTCTCAAGGGTTTGTGTGACTGAGGAGCTTGGTGCCACTCATTAGAGGACACAGGTCCTGTGATGTAGGCTGGCACGATGGC